>NC_000003.12:198084559-198235559 GCF_000001405.40 Homo sapiens | reverse complement strand
GAATTCCTAGAAACTGTTTTCCTTGTCTGCGGCCATTGTGCTGCTGCTACACAACTACCGCAAGCAGCCCTTCACGCCCTCCTCCCAGTACAAAGCTAATTGACTTGTGAGAAATGTTAAGCTTGGAAGAGTCAGCATCGCTGCACTTATTTTTTATTCTACTCTGACATTAGAATAATCCTTGAGTGGGGGAAAGGTTAAAAACCCCCCTGGATAAGTGTTACTAATTAATGATGATTGTTTTAAACAATGTTTGGATAATTTTTCCTTGTCCCTTGACATAAACTTGATAAATAACTGAGAAGTGAGAAGGAGATTAGTGGGTTGATTAAATTCCATTCAGGTACTTAAAGTTAGCTCCAAAAATTTAGCTATTTGTAAATTGTCATGCATTGTTAATGTATAAGAGATGTAGATTTCATTTATCTTTGGTGGAGCGAGATGAAGCAGTGAATCATTGAAGACTGAAAGAAAGAAAAAGGTCTTTTCCCTTTTCTTTAAGAAGCATCATTAGTTAAAAACATGTTAGTTGATACCAGAGAACTATATTTAAAGGGACAGCAATAAGCAAATTGATTACTCTGGTGATTATTGGAGTGACATTGCCTTTTAGTTGTACTTTCACAAAAATTCACAATATTTGCCAAAGTCAAGTTATCCATTACACTATTAATTTGTCATTCTTTTGTTTATATAGTCAATATCTCTATCTCAATTGGATCTATCTCAACTGCTTCTAAACAAGCCACCATAGTCTCTCCCATTTCAACAATCTCTTCCAAGTACCACTTCATTTCTTCTTTTCATATTTTTGAAAACTTTTGAAAAACTACCTATTTTCCTCCTCCATTTCTTGTTCATTCCATTCTAGTGGACATGGAATCTGTTCCTCCTCCAAAACGGAATTTGGTCACCCTTAAATTACTAAACCCAAAACAATATGTTGTCTTTATCTTTACCTCTCTGTGGCATTTAATGATAAGACCACTACTTTCTTCTCTTTTACCCTTCTTTCTTGAATTCAGTCAAACAACGTACTTACATTTTTTGTCTTATTCTCCATCTTAGAAACCACCTCAGCTTTCTCCATTCAGCTATAAAATTGTGCTTTTCCTCAAAGATTAATCTGCCTCTCCTCTCACTCTATACTATCTCTGTTAGCTAATTTTATTTGTGCACATTGCTTATACTGGGCATTATATACACATATGCATGTGTGTACATGTGCACACACACACTGTATGTGGACATGTATATATATATATGTGTGTGTGTATATATATAGTATATATATAAATTACAATAACATAAAGGTGGCATTTTAAATTAGTGGAAATTACCCTGATTTGATCACTACACATTCTATACATGTAAAGAAAATATCACTCTGTATCCCAAGAATATGTACAATTATGGTTTGTCAAATGAAAAAGTTCATACATTGAAAAATTTTAGATAAATATCAAACTTTCTCTGAAACTGTAACTGTAAAATGTAAAAAACAGTAATTGCTATATTGCTTATTTCTGAGTAGAAGAATATGAGACATTTCCCTAATCATTATGTGTAATTACAATTACATATATATATGTAATTGTAATTACACATAATGATTAGGGAAATGTCTCATATTCTATATATATAGACAGAAAGAGAGAAAATATATGAGGGAGAGAAGGAATCTTTCCATCTCCTTTGAGTTCCACGGTGTTGAGAGTCAGGACAACTGCAATTGCTTCATCATGCCTGCTTGCAATTATAGGGCTTTTGAACCATTTGTTCCCTCCTTAGATATCCTCATTTTTTTCAGATTCTTGCTTAGAAGTCACTCCTCCGTGGACCTCCTCTGACATATTAAACATTGCAGTCCATTATAAGCTGCAAGAGGACAGGGATTTTTGCCTGTTTTATTCCCTACTGTATCACCAGGGGCTACAGCAATATCTGACAAACAGTGGGCATGTAATGAATATTTGTTAAGTGAAGTAATAAATTCAATCAAATCACATCACCTGTTTAAAGCACTTCATTGGCTTCACATTGCACTTAGAATAAAGAGAAATTCTTTTTATACAATATAAGTTCCTGCAGAATGCAGACACTTTCTACTTCTCCAGCCTCTTTTCAACTCCTCTCCTACTAGCTTCTGTATTTAAGCCACATTAGACCTTTCTTCAGTTTTTTATATAGACTTTGTCGCATCACACCTCAGAGATTCTGTACATGTTCTTCCTCCTGCCTAGAAAGGATCGTCCCTCCACTTTCGCCAACTAATCCCTGCTCAACTTTTCATCTCAGCAGGAGGCCCATTCTCTTTGGCAATCCTCTGGCCTCCAGCCCATTTATTATATGCTCACATGTCAACATGTACTTCGTACAGCATGTAACACAATTGCACTTTTATATTTTAACAAATTATATTTCCCATATTGAACTGTAAGTCTCCTGAAAGCAGGAATTTTGTTCTTGCTCATCATCAACTTTTTCAACATCCAGTGCACCATTTAGAACTTAGATGTAGTCAATAGAGGTTTGTGGAATGAAAGAGGAAAAGAAAGAATTAATATTCCTTTAAATTAGGATGGCAAAGATCGTATATAGAAAATTGGCTAAGTTGTGGTCCATTCATGTTTGCTCCCAATTAAGGAGCACAGCTATGAAAAGGAAGGCTTCAAATTAATAACCAATAGATTTTTTTAAAAAGAAAACTGGCCAGGTACTGTGGCTTATGTCTGTAATATCAGCATGTTGGGAGGCCAAGGCAGGATTACTTGAGCCCAGAAATTCCAGACCAGCCTGAGAATTTGGCAAAACTCTGTCTCTACAAAAATTACAAAAATTAGCCAAGTTTGGTGGCATGTGCCTGTAGTACCAGCTACTTGGGAGGCTGAGGTGGAAGAATAGCTTGAGTCTGGGAGGTCAAGGTTGCAATGAGCTGTGATTGCACCACTGCACTCAAGCCTGGGTGGTAGAGTAAGACCCTGTCTCAAAAAAAAAAAAAAAAAAGAAAAATCACTAAGCAAAATAAGACATGTGAAGGATCATGTCAAAGGTAAGAAAAATTAGGGGAACATTAAAAGCTTTCTTCCCAAGCCACTAAATCAACTTGACTAACAAAATTACCACTTGATTTAGCATTAGAAAATTACATTACATATCAAACATAAACCCATTAATCAAATACTAAAGAAATTTCTGAGTTAAATGGTATAATGTTAGCTTATGCCAGAGCTGACCTTGAAAGATTGTTCAAATATGGCTCAGTGTGATTGAAAGTTCTGTGTGAATATGTTTTTGGAAAGATCCAACAGCAACACCTTAGTGTATGTTTTTGAAATAAAATGTATCTGAGTAGCAGCAAAGTTATTCTCAAATTTCCATTTTATAGCTGGAGATGTTATACCGTGACGTATATGATAGGACCCAATATGGATCAATCCCTTTTAGAAGTCAATCAGGAAGAGGGGAGCAGTTAAAACAGTTGCTTGGTTTACAAACATTAGAACAATTTTCTTATTCACACCATCTGATTATTGTATTTTATTTTTTCCCCAACGTTTAGACTACACAATGAGTTAAGAATGATAAAAATAAGCTCACCAATATACTATGTACATATTTACCAAAATCTGTGCATGCTTATACATATAAACACAGCTGATAATTTATTAGTTAGGCTCATTTGTAATTTTTGTCACTATAGACCAGTTTTTTATTTAAATTGAAGATTAGTATACATTTTAAATGATTAGTCAAAATAAAAAATCTAAAATGTGCTCTAAATACCTCTTAGGTCAGAAAAAAAAAGTCAAAAGCTAGAGTATAGAGAAATTAAGAAACGCCCTAAATTTCTAATCTGACAAAAATTCATACAAGATTTAAATATTTTAATGGAAAATAGAACAGAACTAATTATTGAAGAAATTATAGAAAGGAAACAAAATAAACAGATTATATGGAGGATTTTTAGAAGATAAGTAAATAAATTAATATACTAGGAAAAAACAAGGGAAATATACTTGATAAATAAATACAGGTAAGAGTTCTTTTGAAATAATGATAAAATAGAAAATCTCTGTCAAAACTAAAAGGAAAGATGCATAAATATATAAATAAATGATAAAAAATGTTGCATACATATATGACTTTTTCAGAATCAAAAAATTTAAATTTCTGTAATAAAATTTAAATGTTTATAAATTTAAAAAACTAGAAGAAAGAATGTTGACTGTTCACAATACAAATAAATGACAAATATTTGAGGTGATGGATATGCTAATTATCCTTATTTGATCATTGGGCATTGTATACATGTATCAAAATATCACTCTGTATCCCATGAATATGTACAATTATTTGTCTCAAAAACAAACAAAAAAAAGATAATGGGAGAATGTTGAAAACTCAGAGAGAAGAGCAACTCTCACAGATAGGGATCCAGATAACATTAGCAGCTGATTTCTCGGCAGAAACCTTGAAGGCCAGTAGGCAGTGGATTATATATTTAAAATAATGAAGAAACCTGTCAATTGAGAAATATATAGCTGGAAAACTTATCCTTCAAAAATGAAGGAGAAATTAAGACATTTCCGGATTTTTTTTTAAAACTGAAAAAAATCCATTTATCCCTGAATTTGACATTCAGGAAGTGTTAAGTCCTTCAGGTTGAAATAAATGAACTCTAGGCAATAACTATGTAAGTAAATAAGCAAGCTGTATGAATATACAAAGCTCTCTGGTAAAGGTAAATACATAAACAAACATAAAAACAGTCCTATTGTAATTTTGGTTTGTAACTCTGCTTTTTATTTTCTACATAATTTAAAAGGCAAATGCATAAAATGTAATTGTAAATCTGTTAGCTGGTATACAATGAATAAAGATATAATTTGTCACATCAATAACATAAAAAGAGTAGAGCTATATATATAGCAGTAGAATTTTGGTATGTGATTGAACTTAAGTTGAAATAAATTCAAATTAAAATGTTATAACTCTAGGATGTTATATGTAATTCTCATAGTAACCAAAAATGAAATATATATAGAATATAAACAAAAGGAAATGAGACTAGAAACAAAATGTGTCACTACAAAAAAATCAACTAAAGATAAAAAAGAAATAATTGAGAAAATGATTGGCAAAAATCAGTAACTCTGACGTATTAAAACTTTCCATGCTACATAAATCTGAAAACTCTATTTCACATAAAACTGGAGCTGAAAGAAACAAATATTTACCTATAAAGTTAAAAGTTATATAGGGAACAAACACTAATTTTTTTTTAGAAAAAATTATAAAAAGAGTAAAAATATGCCTTATACTACCGTAATTTCATGTTTTACAGCTCTGGGAAAATAGAAAATAAAATGTTCTGTTAGCATGAATCCCTCTGTGCCCCCAAAAAACCCTATGGATTGCATCATTATTACCTAAAAAGTCTATTCTCAAATGCAGCAGAGTGATATTTTTTACAAGGTAGATATTAATTTTAGATATGGAATAATATTGGTGATTTCAATTTTATAACACTGGGTTAAGATGAAAGAATGAGAAGATAAAGGTCCCTCAGCAATATAACTCACAAACATGTTCAGAAGCAGTAAGAAGTTACATTAATTATCTTTTGAAAGTCGATAATCTACATCTTTAATGTATGCATATAGCATAGCCAATGTACTATCGCTGGGTCCATTTATTCAATGAATAATTGCCGCTATGTGTCAGACATTTTTCTAGGCCTAGGAATGGATACATAAGTGAACAAAGCAAAGATTCTGGTTCTTGTAGAGTTTCCATTAAAAGACAATTTAGTAAAACTTTTCTTCCCCCAAATTATAAAATCTGTAAGATGATTTAACAACATGTGTAAAAGTCATTGTGGGCCAGGCACGGTGGCTCATACCAGGTGTGGTGACTCATAGCACTCTGTCACCCAGGCTGGAGTGCAGTGGCACAATCTCTGCTCACTGCAACCTCTGCCTCCTGGGTACAAGCGATTCTCCTGCCTCAGCTTTCTGAGTAGCAAGGACTACAGGTGCACACCATCACGCCTGGCTAATTTTTGTACTATTAGTACAGACGGAGTTTCACCATGTTGGCCAGGCTGGTCTCAAACTCCTGACCTCAAATGATCCGCCCACCTCGGCCTCCCAAAGTGCTGGAATTACAGATGTGAGCCACAATGCCCGGCCTTATTTTCTACAACTTTGGTAACTTTAGCATATACCCCAAATCTGTAAGACATAATATTATAATTCAAATGCAATGCATGGCTTCTCTTTGTACTCTTTCTCTAGCTTTTGAATTATTTATTCTAATACCAGTTTTAATTCTGACACAAAATCATGGGAGTTCTAATCAAAATCCAACCTTTTATCATAAAAACTATGAAGAAATTATGAGTAGAATTTAAAAAGGAAAATAGGCCTATTAATTAGATTTGTCTTTGTAGCATTTAACTCTATAATAAATAATATTTTATGCCTATGAGTCCCCAACAAAGCCTCCAGCTTCTATTTAGATATAAACTGTAAAAGTCACTACTGGATCCACAAGCAAGACTATGGTAAATAAATTTCTCCACCTAACCAGCTTCTTTTACATGATGTTACATGTTTCTTTTGTTTTTTCATTTTGGCAAATATTGATTGTCATCTTCGTGTTTGTCTATGTCCTAAGTGCTGGGATACAGAATCTGAAAAGATGGACACAGGACCTGCCTTCAAGTTCACCCCCTTTTTTTTTTTTTTTTGAGATGCAGTTTTGCTCTTGTCACCCAGGCTGGAGTGTAATGGTGAGATCTCTGCTCACTGCAACCTCCACCTCCAGGGTTCAAGTGATTCTCCTGCCTCAGCCTCCCAAGTAGCTGGGATTACAGGTCCCAGCCACCACGCCTAGCTAATTTTTGTATTTTTAGTAGAGACAGCGTTTCATCATGTTGGTCAGGCTGGTCTCGAACTCCTAACCTCAGGTAGTCGACCCACCTCGGCCTCCCACAGTGCTGAGATTACAGGCATGAGCCACCACGCCCTGCTAGGAGTTCACGCTTTAGTTGGGGAAAATATACAATAAGCAAGCCAGTTTTTAAAATGAGAACTGCAATTAGAGTTAAATGCTACAAAGACAAACTCACAGGAAGATGGGATGTAGAATGATAAGGCTCTCAGAATAGTAAGAGAAACTATTGCTTCTTACGATGTTTGTCTTTCTTTGTATCGGTGCTCAGCTGAGTCTGCAGTGCTTCAGAGGCAGCTTTCATTTTATAAAAATCTATGATTTCTCCTTCCAGTTGTTTTTTCTCTTCCTCGAGCTTCCTTATCTCCTCCTGTTGAATCATTTTAAGATGCTCGAACTTGTCCTGCAGCTGTGAAACCAATGTGCAGTTGTGACACCAAAGCAGTGTGGCTGAACACCTAAAAGAATACGCTTTTTTTCTGATTATCAAACAAACCCAAATCATCACAGTAGAGCACGATCTTAATAACAATCTCAAAAACTCAGGAGTAAACACTCAGATATGGAATTTTTCTTTTCTTTCTTTTTTCCTTTTATAAGATGGAGTCTCACTCTGTTGCCCAGGCTGGAGTGCACTGGTGCGATCTCAGCTCACTGCAACCTCCATCTCCCAGTTCAAGTGATTCTCCTGCCTCAGCCTCTTGAGTAGCTGGGACTATAGGCATGCATCACCACTACAGGCGTGTGCCACCACACCTGGCTAATTTTTGTATTTTTAGTAGAGATGGGGTTTTGCCATGATGGCCAGGCTGGTCTCGAACTCCTGACCTCAGGTGATCCTCCCGCTTTGGCCTCCCAAAGACTTTTTTTTTTTTTTAATATAGAGACAAGTTCTCAGTACGTTGCCCAGGATGGTCTCAAACTCCTGAGCTCAAGTGATCCTCCCACCTCAGCTTCCCAAAGTGCTGGGACTGACTGGATGCAGTGGCTCATGCTTGTAAACTCAGCACTTTGGGAGGCCAAGGTGGGAGGATCGCTTGAGCCCAGGAGTTCAAGACCAGACTGGGTGATATAACACAATAGTCAACTTCAACAGGAGAGAGAATCTGTAAACTTGAATATAGATCTTCCGAAATTATCCAGTCAGAGGACAGAGAAAAAAAGAATAAAAGAGAGAAAAGAAGGCTGGGTGTGGTGGCTCAAGCCTGTAATCCCAACACTTTGGGAGGCCGAGGCAGGCAGATTAAGAGGTCAGGAGTTCAAGACCAGCCTGTCCAACATGACAAAGCCCCATCTCTACTAAAAATACAAAAATTAGCCGGGTGTGGTGGCACACACCTGTAGTCCCAGCTACTTGGGAGGCTGAGGCAGGAGAATCACTTGAACCCAGGAGGCGGAGGTTGGAGTGCAATGTGAGCCGAGACCACACATTACACTCCAGCCTGGGTGACAGAGCATGACTCTGTCTCAAAAAGAAAAAAAAAAGAGA
Source organism: Homo sapiens (assembly GCF_000001405.40). Taxonomy (NCBI): domain Eukaryota; kingdom Metazoa; phylum Chordata; class Mammalia; order Primates; family Hominidae; genus Homo; species Homo sapiens. The sequence continues at coordinate 198,227,113 of NC_000003.12, read as the reverse complement.
CAGAGAAAAGAAAGCCAACAAGACACCATTAAGCAAACCATTGTCAGGTTATGGGAGTTTGAGAAGGAAAGTAGAGAAAGGAGAATAAAGCTTATTTAAAGAATGGCTGACAACTGCCTAAATCATGGGAAAGATTTAGACATCTAAATCCATGAAGCTTAAAGATTCCTAAAGAGGTTCAAACCAAATAGATACTCACCAAGTCACAATATAATCAAATAGTCAAAAGTTAAAGAAACTTTGCAGGTCAGGACAGAATCGAATAATACATTCAAAGTGCTGAAAGAAAAAAACTGCCAGCAACTAATACTATGTCTGACAAAGCTGTCCTTCAGAAAGGAAAAAGAAATAATGTGTTTCCTCGACAAACAAAGCTGAGGGCATTCAGGACCACTAGGTCTACCTTAAAAAAATGCTTAACGGAGTTTTTCAAGTAAAAATGAATGAAGTTGGGAGCGGTGGCTCATGCCTGTAATCCCATTTTGGGAGGCTGAGGTGGGTGGATCACCTGAGGTCGGGAGGTCAAGACCAGCCTGGCCAACATGGCAAAACCCCACCTCCAGTAAAAATACAAAAAATTAGCCAGGTATGAAGGCCACTGAGATCGTGCCACTGCACTCCAGCCTGGGTGACAAGAGTCAAACTACATTTCAAAAACAAAAAACAAAACAAACAAAAAAAACAAAACTTGAGGCCTGGCCTTCTGCTCCTCTCCAACCTCCCCTTCTCTGGGCCCAAGCCACCTTGGCTGAGGAGGGGGCGAGGAGGTGTGAGCCCCTGCCAGGAACCCCCTGCCCGGACCAAGTGCTCGGCCCCCAGGCCTGCGTTCAGTGAGGCCTCCCGTGGCGTCAGCATGTTCGTGTGGAGGAATGTGGAAGGTCACTCTGCGGCCGTGTTCTCCTGGTACTCCATCCCCTTCCTGACCCCTCCCTGCAGCCACACGAGGCCCAGCAACCTGCCAGTCACTCAGTGGCCTCCAACCAGAGAAAACAACCTGCCAAGTTGGCAGCCGTTGCTCATGAGCGTCCACCAGGTGGGACAGGGAGTGTTGACCCTGGGCAGCCCCCTGGAGCCACCTGCCCTGAAAGCCCAGGGCCCGCAACCCCACACACTTTGGGGGTGGTGGAACCTGGTAAAAGCTCACCTCCCACCATGGAGGAGGAGCCCTGGGCCCCTCAGGGGAGTCCCTGCTGGACAGTGAGACAGAGAATGACCATGATGATGCTTTCCTCTCCATCATGTCTCCTGACACCCAGTTGCCTCTACCACTCAGATGATGTCAGGCCCAGTCCCTCAGTGCCCTGCGCAAGGAACAGGACTCATCTTCTGAGAAGGATGGACGCAGCCCCAACAAATCAGACAAGGACCACATCCGGTGGCCCATGAGTGGCGCTCATGATCTTCAGCAGGCGGCACCAGGCCCTGGCGGGGCGCACCAGGGTCATCCCAACCAGGATAACCGGACCGTCAGCCAGATGCTGAGCGAGCGGTGGTACACCCTGGGGCCCAATGAGATGCAGAAATACAACCTGGCCTTCCAGGTGAAGGTGGCCCACTTGCAACAAGGACCGAAAGAAGTCCAGCTCAGAGGCCAAGCCCACAAGCCAGGGGCTAGCAGGAGTGTAACAAGGGCTCGTGGGAGCGGAGCATATCAGAGACGGGCACTGCCACTGCCCCTGGGGTGTCCTCTGAACTCCTGTCAGTTGCAGCCCAAACACTCCAGAGCTCGGATACCAAGGAGCAGCTTCTGTGGGGCAGAACGGCTGCACACAGTCAGGGAACCTGGCTCAGCCTGGCCCAAGCCTTCTCCCACAGCGGGGTACACAGCCTGGACGGCAGGGAAATAGACCGTCAGGCACTACGGGAACTGACACAGGTGGTGTCTGGCACTGCATCATACTCTGGCCCAAAGCCTTCTACTCAGCATGGAGCTCCAGGCCACTTTGCAGCCCCTGGTGAGGGAGGTGACCCGTGGGCAGCCCTGCTGCCGCCCACGTGAGCTGCTCATTCCCAGCACATGGCCAGCGAGGTCATAGCGAGTGACGAAGAGCACACGGTCATCCATGAGGAGGAGGGGGTGATGATGTCATTGCTGATGATGGCTTTAGCACCACCGACACCGATCTCAAGTTCAAGGAGTGGGTGACCGACTGAGAGTGGGGACAACTCTGGGGAGGAGCCAGAGGGCAACAAGGGCTTTGGTGGGAAGGTATTTGCACCTGTCATTCCTTCCTCCTTTACTCCTGCCGCCCCTTGCTGGATCCTGAGCCCCCAGGGTCCCCCGATCCACCTGCAGCTTTTGGCAGTCTATGGTCACACCCTGTCCTCCTCCTACACATACTCGGATGCTTCCTCCTCAACCTTGGCACCCACCTCCTTCTTACTGGGCCCAGGAGCCTTCAAAGCCCAGGAGTCTGGTCAACGCAGCAGAGCGGGCCCCCTACGGCCCCAACCCCTGGGGATGGGGGCCCAGGGACGCCTTCCAAGGTGGCCTGTTTCCTCCCAATGGATCCTGCCACCTTCTGGTGCAAGAGACCTGAAAGTGTGGGCGACCTGGAGCTACCAGGCTCCTCAGTCATCAGGGTCCCTCCCAATACTAAGGCTTTCCTAGGCAGGAGCTGGGCTGAGCCACCCGGGGGGCAGAGCCTGAAGAGAAACTGACTGGGCTTTCGGGGTCGGGGCAGAGGGAACCCCACGGACATGGATCCCACACTGGAGGACCCCACCGCGCCCAAATGCAAGATGAGAAGATGCTCCAGCTGCAGTCCAAAGCCCAACACCCCCAAGTGTGCCACGTGTGATGGGGACAGCTTCCCCTTTGCCTGTACAGGTGGAGAAGCCGAGGACAGGCTCAGGGAACCGGAGACCGAGAAGGCGCTGTCCTCTTCACTGCACGTACCCTGGACCAGTGCCGGCCCTGATCATGCAGCTCTTCCAGGCCCACTGCTTCTTCCTGTCCACTAGGCCACAGCCGCCCTCCAGGCCCACTATGCACACATCTTCCCCTCCAAGGTTTGTTCTGCCCCTGCCCTGACTCCCAGCCCTGTGGGGGTCCTGACCGCACCTCACCTGGCTCAGACTCTTGACGCTGCCCTGGCTGCCCCACCACTGCTTCTGCCCGAGAGTCACGTGAGGCTGAGAGTAGGGGCAGGGGCAGCAGTGGTGCCAGTTGGGGGGCGGTCCAGTGGGAGGAGCCTCAGCCTCGCAGGCTGCTCCGTGGGACTGATGACTGCATGATCTTCTGGGCACCTCACGGATCTTCAACTGCAGGTGAAACGGATGCTGGTGGTGGGTGCAGGGCCGCTGGGAGCTGCTGCATGGTTCCCAGAGGCTGGACTGAGGCAGGTGCCAACTGAAGCTGCTGGGGCAGCATGGGCAGGATGTTCTGCACACAAACCTTGGAGAAGAAGATGTGTGCATAGCAGGTCCACTGCTGCTGCCCCTGCCCTGACTCCCAGCCCTGCCTGACCCCACCTCAACCTGCTCAGGCTCTGGCACAACCCTGGCTGCCCTGCCACTGCCTCTGCCCCAGAGTTGGGGCCTTGACAGCCTGGTTGGAAGGGGACACCCCAGCCCTGCCTCAACACCTGGGGGTCTCCATAACTAGCACAGGCAGGTGGGCAACCCCAAAGATCCCAGGACTCACAGTACCCCCTGAGAACATGGACAGTATGTGGGGGTAGCAATGGAGGGCAGGATGGTTATCTTCTCCCAGGTGAAGCCATTTAATCCTTTCAGTTTGGGACGGAGTAAGGCCTTCCTCTTTTTTTTTTTTTTTTTTTTTTTTTTTTTTTTTGAGACCGAGTCTTGCTCTGTCGCCCAGGCTGGAGTGCAGTGGTGCGATCTTGGCTCACTGCAACCTCTTCCCGCCGGGTTCACGCCATTCTCCTGCCTCAGCCTTCCGGGTAGCTAGGATTACAGGTAGACGCTACCACGTCCGGCTAATTTTTGTATTTTTAGTACAGACGGGGCTTCATCATCTTGGCCAGGCTGATTTCGATCTCCTGACATTGTGATCTGCCTGCCTCCCCCTCCCAAAGTGCTGGGATTACAGGCGTGAGCCACCACGCCTGGCCAAGGCCTGCTCCTCTTATCTATACCCCCTACCCCTGCAGCTGTGCCGGGGGAAAGCTGGGCAGTTTCCCTCCTCCGAGCCCCTGTACATACCATGAATTGTGGGACCTTCAGAGCTTTTCACTTTTCGGAAAATAGCTCCTGCTGGGGCTACAAGATGGAGTGTGAAGAGGGCCTTGGGCCACAGGGAGGCGCCTGTGGACTAGGGGGAGTTCATGCACCCCTTCTTTCCCCAGAGGGGCTGGACTCAGGTGAGTATGGGGGTGGGGGCTCCTGCACTTCGACACAGGCAGCGGGAGGGTTTTCTCCCCATTCCCTCTGCACTCCCAACTTGAGCTATACTTTTTAAGAAAGTGATTCACCCTGCCTTTGCCCCCTTCCCCAGAACAGAACACGTTGATCGTGGGCGACATTTTTCATTGTGCCAAAAAGTTGCCATGACCGTCATTAAACCTGTTTAACACCAAATAATAAGGAAAATAAAATAAAAAACTCGGGCTTGACGCAGAAACTCACTCCAAATAAATTACCTACCAAAACATTTACATAATGGTGGAAATATTCCAAAATTCAATATTTTGGGATTTATACACAAAAGATAAACAAATTAGAGGCCAAGAGGCTGCCGGAAGGGAAAAACGGGGCCTGGAATGGCCGACGTGAGGAATGAGCTGGGCCTAAAGAGGCCACTGGCAGGCAGGAGCTGGACCTGCCGAAGTGGCCGAAAGGCAGGAGCTTTGGACTGGGGAGGCCGCAGTGAGGCGAGAGCTAGCTGGGCGTGGAGAGTCCGCTGTGAGGCCGAGGCCGAGGCCGGGCCCGTGCAGGCCTTCGAGAGGCAGGAGGCCGGGCCTGCAAAGGCCGACTGGAGATCAAGTTCTGCGCCTGAAGAGGCTGCCAAAAGTCAAAAGCAGGGCCTGCGAAGGCCGCCGAGAGCCATGAGCTGGGCTGGGCTGAAAGAGGCCACTGGGAGGCAGGAGGAGCTGGGCCTGGAGAGGCTGACTCGAGGAAGTTTTGCACCTGGAGAGGCCGTCGAGAGGACGGAGCTGGGCCCAGGGAGGCCGACTTGCTGCTCTTCCAGGCCCACTTCCAGGCCGACTTGAGGACGACTTGGGCCTGCAGAGGCCGCCGGGAGGCTGGAGCTAAGCCTGGAGAGACTGACTTCGGGACGATTTGGGCCTGCGGAGGCCGCCGGGAGGCCCAAGCTGGGCCTAGAGGAGCCCACCGACCGGAGGCCATTTGGGGCCTGCAGATGTCATCGGAGGGCCAGGAGCTGAGCCTGGAGAGGCCACCGCGAGGCCTGAGCTGGGCCTGGGGAGCTTGGCTTAGGGAAGTTGTGGGCCTACCAGGGCCGCTGGGAGCTGGGCAGGAGCTGAGTCCAAAGACGTTGTTGGGACCTGGAGTCGGGCCAGAGTCCGGCCTGGAGATGCAGCCGGGAGGAAGAGCTGGGCCCGGAGGGGGCGCCGGGAGGCTGCAAGTGGGTCTGAGAGGCCAACTTGAGGAGGCCTGGCTCTGCCTCCCGCATTGCCCAGCTGTTCCTCCTGGCTGCATCTCCCACCTCCCAGCAAACAAGCTCTTTTGGCTCAGCTCCCGCCTGCGTTTGTAGACCCCGAAGTTTCTGCAACCAAGCTCTTCAGACCCACATCCCTTCTCCCAGTGACTGAACAGTCCCAGCTCCGGCTGGAGAAGGGCGTCTGCAGACCCCGCTGTTGCCTCCCAGGGGAGTCTCCAGGCCCAGCTCTCGCCCCACCGCGACCTCCCAGGCCCAAGTCCCTGCCTACCTCCCAGCAGCCCGAGTGCGATCCTGTTCCTCCCTCACGGTGGCCTGTTGAGGCAGGGGGTCACGCTGACCTCTGTCCGCGTGGGAGGGGCCGGTGTGAGGCAAGGGCTCACACTGACCTCTCTCAGCGTGGGAGGGGCCGGTGTGAGGCAAGGGGCTCACGCTGACCTCTGTCCGCGTGGGAGGGGCCGGTGTGAGGCAAGGGCTCACACTGACCTCTCTCAGCGTGGGAGGGGCCGGGGTGAGGCAAGGGGCTCACGCTGACCTCTGTCCGCGTGGGAGGGGCCGGTGTGAGGCAAGGGCTCACACTGACCTCTCTCAGCGTGGGAGGGGCCGGGGTGAGGCAAGGGGCTCACGCTGACCTCTGTCCGCGTGGGAGGGGCCGGTGTGAGGCAAGGGCTCACACCGACCTCTCTCAGCGTGGGAGGGGCCGGTGTGAGGCAAGGGGCTCACGCTGACCTCTGTCCGCGTGGGAGGGGCCGGTGTGAGGCAAGGGCTCACACTGACCTCTCTCAGCGTGGGAGGGGCCGGTGTGAGGCAAGGGGCTCACGCTGACCTCTGTCCGCGTGGGAGGGGCCGGTGTGAGACAAGGGGCTCACACCTCTCTCAGCGTGGGAGGGGCCGGTGTGAGGCAAGGGGCTCGGGCTGACCTCTCTCAGCGTGGGAGGGGCCGGTGTGAGACAAGGGGCTCACGCTGACCTCTCTCAGCGTGGGAGGGGCCGGTGTGAGGCAAGGGGCTCGGGCTGACCTCTCTCAGCGTGGGAGGGGCCGGTGTGAGGCAAGGGGCTCACGCTGACCTCTGTCCGCGTGGGAGGGGCCGGTGTGAGGCAAGGGCTCACACTGACCTCTCTCAGCGTGGGAGGGGCCGGTGTGAGGCAAGGGGCTCACGCTGACCTCTGTCCGCGTGGGAGGGGCCGGTGTGAGGCAAGGGCTCACACTGACCTCTCTCAGCGTGGGAGGGGCCGGTGTGAGGCAAGGAGCTCGGGCTGACCTCTGTCCGCGTGGGAGGGGCCGGTGTGAGGCAAGGGGCTTGGGCTGACCTCTCTCAGCGTGGGAGGGGCCGGTGTGAGACAAGGGGCACGCTGACCTCTCTCAGCATGGGAGGGGCCGGTGTGAGACAAGGGGCTCGGGCTGACCTCTGTCCGCGTGGGAGGGGCCGGTGTGAGGCAAGGGGCTCACGCTGACCTCTGTCCGCGTGGGAGGGGCCGGTGTGAGGCAAGGGCTCACACTGACCTCTCTCAGCGTGGGAGGGGCCGGTGTGAGACAAGGGGCTCACGCTGACCTCTGTCCACGTGGGAGGGGCCGGGGTGAGGCAAGGGCTCACACTGACCTCTCTCAGCGTGGGAGGGGCCGGTGTGAGGCAAGGGGCTCACGCTGACCTCTGTCCGCGTGGGAGGGGCCGGTGTGAGGCAAGGGCTCACACTGACCTCTCTCAGCGTGGGAGGGGCCGGTGTGAGGCAAGGGGCTCACGCTGACCTCTCTCAAGCGTGGGAGGAGCCGGTGTGAGGCAAGGGCTCACACTGACCTCTCTCAGCGTGGAGTAGCCAGTGTGAGGCAGCGTCACGCTCTGTGCAGGGTCCAGAGGCATGAGTTGGCATCAACAGGCCACCGTGAGGGAGGAGCTGGGCGCACGCGGGCTGCTGGGAGGCAGGCAGGGACTTGCCCCGGGAGGCCGCCGTGGGTGCAAGAGCTTGGCCTGGAGAGGCCCCTGGGAGGCAAGGCGGGGCCTGCAGAGGCTGTTCTCCAACCAGTGCTAGAACTGTACAGGCCACCAGGAGGCAGGAGGTGGGCCCTCAGAGCTTGGCTGGAGAAAGTTCGGGGCCTACAAAGGCGGTTGGGAGCTGGGCAGGAGTTGAGCCAAAAGAGCTTGCTTACTTGCTGGGAGGCAGGGCCGGGAGAGCCCGACTTCAGGACAACTTGGGCCTGCGGCAGTCGCCGGGAGGCCCAACCTTGGCGTGGAGGAGCCCACCGACCGGAGACCATTTGGGGCCTGGAGATGCCATCGGAGGGCAGGAGCTCATCCTGGAGAGGCCACCGTGAGGCCTGACCTGGGCCTGGGGAGCTTGGCTTGAGGAAGCTGTGGGCCGACCAAGGCCGCCAGGAGATGGGTAGGCACTGAGTCCAAAGAGGTTGTTGAGAGGCAGGAATCGGGCCTGGAGACCCAACCAGGAAGAAGAGCTGGGCCCGGAGAGAACGCCCGGAGGGTGCAAGTGGGTCTGGAGAGGCTGACTTGAGGAGGTTCTGGGCCCGGAGAGGCCGCCGGAAGGGAAAAACTGGGCCTGGAAAGGCCGTTGTCAGGAATGAGCCCCATGGGCCTGAAGAGGCCACTGGCAGGCGGGAGCTGGGTGTGTAGAAGCTGCTGAAAGGTTGGGAGCTTGGCTTGGGGGGTCCACAGTGAGGTAGATGCTGGGCGTGAAGAATCTGCTGTGAGGCAGACGTTGGGACTGTAGAGGCTGACGGGAGGCAGAGGCTGGGCCTGGAGGGGCCACCAAGATGCAGGAGCTGGGCCTGGAGAGGCTGCAAAGAAGCATGAGCTGGGCCTGGTGAGGTCGACTTGAGAAAGTTCAGGGCCTGGAGAGAAGGCTGGGAGGCAGGAGCTGGGTCTAAAGAGGCCATTGTAACGATGGAGCTGTGCCTGTGGAGGCTGTTGTGAGGCAGTAGCCTCATCTGCGGAGGCTGCCGTGACGTAGGGTATGGGCCTAAATAGGCCATTGTGAGTCATGAGCTTGGTCTGTAGAGGCTGACTGGAGAAAGTTCTGGGCCTGGAGAGGCTGCCGGGAGGTAGGAGCTGGGCCAAAAGATGTAAGCACATTTGCATTTATTAGGCACTTTATTTCCATTATTACACTGTAATATATAATAAAATAATTATAGAACTCACCATAATGTAGAATTAGTGGGCGTGTCAAGCTTGTTTTCCTGCAACTGGATGGTCCCACCTGAGCGTGATGGGAGAAAGTGACAGATCAATAGGTATTAGACTCTCATAAGGACAGCGCAACCTCGATCCCTCACATGCACGGTTCACAACAGGGTGCGTTCTCCTATGAGCATCTAATGCTGCTGCTCATCTGAGAAGGTGGAGCTCAGGCGGGAATGTGAGCAAAGGGGAGTGGCTGTAAATACAGACGAAGCTTCCCTCACTCCCTCACTCGACACCGCTCACCTCCTGCTGTGTGGCTCCTTGCGGCTCCATGGCTCAGGGGTTGGGGACCCCTGCTCAAGTGCATCCAAAGCGACCCTTCCCACACCAGTCTTCACAGTGGTCAAGGGCAGCAACCACTTAGCTCCCAAGGCATGTGCCTCAGCTGGCATTTCGTCACAATCAACAGTAAGTGGTAGCTTGAGTCACTGTGAGGTCACCTACTGGAAATCACCAGCATCCCATTTCCCACTGGCAAAGAGCTCAGCACTGCCCCCTGGGAAACCAAACCTATGCCCAAATCCCATCTGTGTGGGTTTACCTCCTGGGACCCTTCCTAACATATTAGTCAGAGTCCAATCAGGAAGCATAAACCACTCAAAAGTTTAAAGTGGTAAAATTTAATACAGAGAATTATTCATTATAACAGGTGAACAGCATAATGAGAGATTGGCTAGCACAGAGTAAAGATAACTCTAGAGAATATGGGACTAGCCCAGGCCAGGCATGGTGGCTCATGCCTGAAATTCCAGCCATTACAGAAGCTAATGCAGGAGGATTGCTTAAGGCCAGGAGCTAGAGACCGCTCTGGACGACACAGTGAGACCCTGTCTCTATCCAAAAGAAGAAAAAAGTTAGCTGGGGGTGGTGGTGCACACTTGTAGTCCCAGCTACTCGGAATGCTGAAGTTTGAGCCTGGGAGGTCAAGGCTGCAGTGAGGCATGATTATGCCACTACAGTCCAGCCGGATGACAGAGCAAGACCCTGTCTCAAAGAACAAAACCACAACAACCATTTACAGACAGAAAAGAAATAGAGCTAATAAGCTGAGGAAAGATGTTGAAATGTGACAAGTAAAGTAATATGAGGTCTTTTGTCTATTTAAAATAATCAAACAAAAAATGGCTTACTAAATTATAATACCCTGTGCTGGCAAAGGTGCAGTGAAATGGGCACTTTCTTATACTATGAGGGGTGGTTAAATTGTGTATAAGCCTTCCAGGGTAAAGCCTGTCAATTTTTTAAAATAATGGAGACAGGGTCTCACCATACTGCCATACTGCCTCCTCCAACTCTTGGCCTCAAGCAATCCTCCTCTCTTAGCCTCCCAAAGTGCTAAGATTATAGCTGGGAGGCACCCAAAACCCTGTCAATTTACATCAAGGGTAAGGAGAATGTCCATTCACCATGACTCACAGTAATCTTACTTCTGGGGAGACAATTCAATCTAAGCAAAAGGTCATCTGTACACACACAGTAAAAATCTGGGAGTAACTGAAGACAGAGTTGGTAAGTGAAATAAGAAACAGTTATAAGAAATTAAACTATGGTATCAATAGGCACCTGGTAAAAGGTCAGTTGATGTTAGCTGCTACTTTTTTGTTGTTTTGAGACAGGGTCTCACTCTGTCACCCAGGCTGGAGTGCAGAGGCCTGATCATGACTCACTGCGGTCTCAGCCTCCCTGGGCTCAAGTGATCCTCCCACCTCAGCCTCCCAAGTAGCTGGGACTACAGGAACATGCCACCACACTAGGCTAATTCATGTATTTTTCTGTAGGGATGGTGACTCCCCCTTTGTTTCCAAGGCCTATCGCAAACTCTTGGCCTCAAGCCATCCTCCTGCCTCAGCCTCCCAAAGTGTTGCGATTACCAGTGTGAGCCACCACACCTGGCCAGCTGCTACTTTTATCAATATTATTCTTATTCCACTCAATTAAAAATTATTATTTTCAAGGCTATGCAACAGTATGTATCCTACAGCGTAATTGTAAAAACATACACAGTCGTCATCCCTCAGTATACAGAATTAGTTCCAGCCCCCCATCTCTGCATATACCAAAATCCATGCTTACTCACGTTTCGCTGTCACCCCTCTAGAATCCACGTATACGAAAATTCCAAATGTTAGTTGGGCATAGTGGCAAGCACCTGTAGTCTCAGCCACGTGGGAGGTTGAGGTGGGAGGATCGCTTCAGCCTGGAAGGTTGAGGCTGCAGTCAGCTGCGATAGCACTACTACACTCCAGCCTTGGACAACAGAGGGAGACCCTGTCTCAGAAAAAAATAAATAAATAAATAAAGCAGGTTAGAAACTGTGATGAGGTCTGCTGGGCAAAATTCCATATAAGCAAAGTATAAATTAATAAAGCAAATCGTGATAAATTAGTACGATTGACTTTCTGGAGTTTCTGACAATAAAAGTAAGGAAAATGCAGAACACAAAGACAGAGAGTAAAAAGAGAAATTAGGAAAGCATTCTACATGTTGAATAGGAAGACACTGGCCATGTTCGTGCAGCGGCAGTATGTCGTGACATGACATACCTTGGAGAGAAGTTAACAGATGAGGAAGTTGATAAAAATCATCAGAGAAGCAAAATACTGGTAGCGACACTCAAGTAAACCATGAAATTTCCATAACTTATGTCAGCAAAGTGGGAATATTGTACAGTGTGTGTTGAAGTTCCTATACAACATTGTTTATCTGCCTTTTGTTTGTTTGTAAGGAATGTATATACTAAAAGTTCTTCTTGCTGTCAAAAGAATATGCGTGAATAAGTCATTTTAACTTATTCTTCTGTTTTTCTTTTATCTTCCTGCCATCATCCCACAGCCTTACTTTAGAAATTTCTTTTTTAGAAAATTGAACAAGTGCTCCTTGTGGTGGCACATACCTCGAGGATGGGAGGCAGGGGTGGAAGGGTCACTTGAGGCCATTAGTTTGACACCAGCCTGGCCAAAAAAGTGAGACCCCGTGTCTACAAAACAATTTAAAAATTAGCCAAGTATCGTCATGTATACCTACAGTCCCAGCTACCTGAACTTACTGAGAAAGTTCAGGGCCTGGAGAGAAGGCTGGGAGGCAGGAGCTGGGTCTAAAGAGGCCATTGTAACGATGGAGCTGTGCCTGTGGAGGCTGTTGTGAGGCAGTAGCCTCATCTGCGGAGGCTGCCGTGACGTAGGGTATGGGCCTAAATAGGCCATTGAGAGTCATGAGCTTGGTCTGTAGAGGCTGACTGGAGAAAGTTCTGGGCCTGGAGAGGCTGCCGGGAGGTAGGAGCTGGGCCAAAAGATGTAAGCACATTTGCATTTATTAGGCACTTTATTTCCATTATTACACTGTAATATATAATAAAATAATTATAGAACTCACCATAATGTAGAATCAGTGGGCGTGTTAAGCTTGTTTTCCTGCAACTGGATGTTCCCACCTGAGCGTGATGGGAGAAAGTGACAGATCAATAGGTATTAGACTCTCATAAGGACAGCGCAACCCAGATCCCTCACATGCACAGTTCACAACAGGGTGCGTTCTCCTATGAGCATCTAATGCTGCTGCTCATCTGAGAAGGTGGAGCTCAGGCGGGAATGTGAGCAAAGGGGAGTGGCTGTAAATACAGACGAAGCTTCCCTCACTCCCTCACTCGACACCGCTCACCTCCTGCTGTGTGGCTCCTTGCGGCTCCATGGCTCAGGGGTTGGGGACCCCTGCTCAAGTGCATCCAAAACGACCCTTCCCACACCAGTCTTCACAGTGGTCAAGGGCAGCAACCACTTAGCTCCCAAGGCATGTGCCTCAGCTGGCATTTCGTCACAATCAACAGTAAGTGGTAGCTTGAGTCACTGTGAGGTCACCTACTGGAAATCACCAGCATCCCATTTCCCACTGGCAAAGAGCTCAGCACTGCCCCCTGGGAAACCAAACCTATGCCCAAATCCCATCTGTGTGGGTTTACCTCCTGGGACCCTTCCTAACATATAACCTTCATAACATACTTGAGAGGCTGAGGTGAGACAATCGATTTAGCCCAGGAGTTTGAGATCAGCCTGGACGACATAACTAAATCTCATCTCTACAAGGACGAGGTGGGAGGATCACTTGAGCCCAGGAATTTGTGGCCAGCCTGGGCAACAAAAGAAGACCCCATCTGGCCAACATGGCCAACCTGGCCACCACGGTGAAACTCTGACTCTACAAAAATGATCTGGGCATGGGTGACATGCGTGTGTAGTCCTAGCTACTTGGGAGGTTGAGATGGGAGGATTGCTTGATCTCAGAAGGCCAAAGCTATAGTGAGCTATGATCACATCACTGCACTCCAGCCTGGATGGCACAGGAAGATTCTGTCTCAAAAAAAAGAAAAGAAATATATATTTAATCTCTGTCCCTGGTTCCTGGCACAGAGCTTCTAAAGCTCTTACAAAGACCTCAGTGATAGATGTGACAGGAGCATCTTTTGTTTTAATATTTGGTCTTGGTCCCAGGTTTCTAACACAAGAGCCTCTAAGAACTTTGGGATCTCCAGCATGGTAAGAATGCATTTGGGGATGTTGTTGAGATGACTGGGTGACTGCAAGCTCCTAAATTTCTTCAAGAGGAGGGCTGATTACCATGCAACCACATGGTAAGAGGCTTGGAACTTTCAGCCTCATGCACTGAACTCCAGGGGGAAGAGGGGCTGGAGACTGACTTAATCACCAACAGCCAAAGGTTTTATCAATCATGCTTGCATAATAAAGCCTCCATAAACACCCTGAAAGGGGTTTGCAGAGCTTTCAGGGTTGCTGGACACAGGAGATGCTGGGAGGGTCGCATGTTCAACAGAGGGCATGGGAGCTCTGTGCCCCTCCGAACTTAACTTGCCCTGGGTATCTTTCTTTTTTTTGAGACAGGATCAGGCTCTTTTGTCCAAGCTGGAGTGCAGTGGCACAATCTCAGCTTACTGTAACCTAAGCCTCCCCAGTCCCCAGCTCAAGGTATCCTCTCATCTCAGCTTCCCTAGTAGTTGGAACTCTAGGTGCACAACACCACACCAGTTATTATTATTATTTTTTAATTTTTTATAGAGACAGGTTTTCACCATGTTGCCCAGGCTGGTCTCAAACTCCTGAGTTTAAGCGATCCTCCCACCTTGGCCTCCCAAAGTGCTGAGATTACAGGCATGAGCCACTGCATCCAGCATGCACGTCTCTTTCATTGACTGTTTCTGAGATGTATCCTTCACAATGAACCAGTAATAGGAAATGAACTGGCCAGATGTGGTGGCTCACATCTGTAATCCCAGCACTTTCAGAGGCTGAGGTGGGAGGATCACTTGAGACCAGGAATTTGTGGCCAGCCTGGCCAACACAACAAGACCCCATCTATACAAAAAATAAAAGAAACTAGCCAGATGTGGTGGTGCAGGCATGTAGTCTCAGCTACTAGGGAGGCTGAGGTGGGAGAACCACTGGAACCCAGACAATCAAGGCTGCAATGAGCTATGACTGCACCATTGCACACCAGCCTGGGCAACAAAATAAGACCCTCTCTCTCAGAAAAAAAGAAAATAAACTGTTTTTCTGAGTTCCGTAAACTGTTCTAGCAAATTATTAAACCCAAGAAGACAGTTACGGGAACCCCCGATTGGTAACAGGTTGGTCAAAAGTATGGTGACAACTTAGGACTTGCCATTGTCATCTGAAGTGAGGATGGCCTCGTGGGACTGAGCCCCTAACTTGTGGGGTCTGTGCTAACTCCAGGTAGTGTCAGAATAAAGTCATGGGATACCCAGTTAATATCCAGAGCACTGAAGAATCTGGTGTAGAAACTCCATACGTACATTCAGTCGGAAGTGTGTGAGTAGAGACAAACATGGGCTTTTCTGTCACCTACCTGCTTAACTGCATAGGAGAGGCAATATGTGGTGCTCATGAACAAAGCAAACATTAAAGTCAGACCAGACCCAACATTTGACTCAGTCTTAATATCCAGGTGAGCCTGCGCAAATCATTCATTATTCCTAAGGTTTTCATCACTCCATTCATAAAATGGGGATAACTGTGGCACCTACATGTGATTCTGTGAGAATTAACGAAATATTATGCTTGGGGTTATTGTGATCATTATACCTGTTCCAAACTATTTGACAAGGACAGTGATGGATGAAGACATCAAAAAATCAGAAACTGCAATGAGGTCTCTCAGGCAAAATTCCATACAAGCAAATTACTGTGTCTACAAAGCATTCCTGCCACACTTAATTCACCATTCCCTGAACAGAATATGCCATCTTCGTTGTTCAGGTCTGTACAGTGCTGGTTTCCCTTCCCGGACAGTTTGCGCTATCCCATCCCGGCCCATTCCCCATCCCTCCACCTCCCCCTTCCCTCCCCACTCTCATACAACTCTTCCTCATCTTTCAGGACTTGGCTTCAATGTCACCTTAACTGGAAGCTTCTCTCACTCTCCAGAAGAGCTTCCCATTGCACCTGATGCATGGGAAACATAATTTGATCATTTTTAAGTTACAGTCCAAATCTTTTTGTACCTGAATAACATGTTGCCCAGTCAGTCTCTCTTCCTGGATTCACAAGTCTTTCATGGTAGATCCAGCTGGAAGTGACAAAAAGACATCTTTTGACATAAAGGGATGACACAGACAGACATAAGTTCTTAAATGTCTTAAATGTTATGTGAGAATTAAACAGAATTCAAAGACTTGTGGGGAGCACTTAGGAAGTTACTGGGAATGTCATGAAGGGTTAATTTGT
The DNA here is from genome assembly GCF_000001405.40 of Homo sapiens. Classification (NCBI taxonomy): domain Eukaryota; kingdom Metazoa; phylum Chordata; class Mammalia; order Primates; family Hominidae; genus Homo; species Homo sapiens. The sequence continues at coordinate 198,211,587 of NC_000003.12, read as the reverse complement.
ATTTTATTTTATTTTTTGAGACAGTCTCATTCTGTCACCTAGGCTGGAGTGCAGTGGTGCAATCAGGCTCACTGCAGCCTTGACCACCTGGGCTCAAGTAATCTCACTTAATTTTTATTTGGTTTAAGAAAGTCTTGGTTGAGGGTGGTGGCTTATGCCTGTAATCTCAGCACTTTGGGAGGCTGAGAGAGGTATATTACTTGAGGCCAGGAGTTTGAGATCAGACTGGGCAATATATTAAGACCCTGCCTCTACCAAAAAACAGAGTGAATGTGTGGAAGACAATTTTTCCACAGACTGGGAATGAGGGAATAATTTCAGGATGATTCAAGTGCATTACATATATTGTGCACTTTATTTCTATTATTACTACATAGTAATATATAATGAAATGATTCTACAACTCACTATAACGTAGACTCAGTGGGATCTCTGAGCTTGTTTTCCTGCAACTAGACTGTCCATCTGGGGTGATGGGAGACAGTAACAGAATATCAGGCATTAGATTCTCATAAGGAGTACACAACCTAGATCCCTCGCATGCACACTTCACAACAGAGTTTGTGCTCCTGTGAGAATCTAATGCTGCTGCTGATCTGACAGGACATGGAGCTCAGGTGGTCATGCAAGCGATGGGAGGGGCTAGAAATACAGATGAAGTTTCCCTTCACTCGCCTGCTGCTCACCTCCAGCTCTGTGGCCCTGTGGTTGGAGACCGCTGCTCAAGTGCATTTGAAAGGAACCAACCCACGCCATTCTTCAGAGTCATCTTTACTGCTGCAGTGGTCAACTTGTAGCACCCCTAAGCTCGCAGGACATATGCTTCAACTGGCATTTCACAATCAACAGTATGTGGCAGCTTGAGTCATTGTGAGCTCACATCCTGGAAATCACCAGCATCCCATATCCCATTGCAAGGAGCTCAGCACTGCTCCTTGGATAACCAAACCTATTCCCAAATCCCATCTGTGTGCGTCTATCTCCTGGTACCCTTCCTAGCATCAATTCTGTATTTGTAGGAGTCCAATCAGGAGACACAAACCACTCAAAAGTTTAAACTAGAATGAGCAAGATGGCTCACACCTGTAATCCCAGAACTCTGGGAGGCCAAGGTGGGTGGACTGCTTTGAGCTCAGGAGTTTGAGAACAGTCTGGGAAACATGGCGAAACCTCGTCTCTACAAAAAACACAAAAATCAGCTGGGTGTGGTGGCACTTACCTGTAATCCCAGCTACTCGGGAGGCTGAGGCAGGAGAATTGCTTGAGCCTGGCAGGTGGAGGCTGCAGTGAGCAGAGGTTGTGCCACTGTACTCCAGCCTGGGTGACAGTGTGAGACCCGGTATCAAAAAGAAAAAACGTATATATATATATATATATATATATATATATATGTAAATTTAATATAAAAAGTATTAATTTTGGCCAGGCAAAATGGCTCATGCCTGTAATCCCAGCACTTTGGGAGGCCAAGGCAGACAGATCACCTGAGGTCAGGAGTTCGAGACCAGCCTGACCAGCACAGAGAAACCCCATCTCTACTAAAAATACAAAATTAGCTGGGCATGGTGGCACATGCCTGTAATCCCAACTACTCGGGAGGCTGAGGCAGGAGAATTGCTTGAACCCAGAAGGTGGAGGTTGCGCTGAGCCGAGATAGCGCCATTGCACTCCAGCCTGGGCAACAAGAGTGAAACTCCATCTCAAAAAAAAAAAAAGGTATTAATTTTTACAGAGGATCAGCACAATGAGGGACACACTAGCACAAAGTAAAGACAACTCTAGAGAATACGGAACTAGCAGAGGCCAGGCATTGTGGCTCATGCCTGTAATCCCAGCAATTTGGGAAGCCTAGGCAGGAGGATCGCTTGAGGCCAGGAGTTGGAGACCAATCAGTGCTAAATAGTGAGACTCTGTGTCTACCAAAAAAAAGAGACATTAGCCAGGTGTGGTGGTGGTGCACACCCGTAGTTCCAGCTACTTGGGAGTCTGGGGTGGGAGAAATCCCTTGAGCCTGGGAAGTCTACACTACAGTGAGCCAAGATTGTGCCACTGCACTCCAGCCTGGGCGACAGAGTGAGACCCTGTCTTAGAAAGAAAAAAGAAAAGAAAGTGTTAATCCCCCTATGGGAATCTCCTCTTCTCCTGCCCTCTCTGGAACCTCACTTGTCAGTTCTTCCTCCCACTTTCCTGTATCTTTAACCTATCCCCCACTTTTAGCTCCTTCCCATCATCATTTAAATTACTCAAACTTCTTCTGTTTTAAAAACCTCTCCCTAAACTCAGGGAGAGGTCTTCTGCACACACATTGAGCCATCTGCTCTTCCCGGTGCCTTCTCTACAGCAGCCTGAGCCATGTCTCTAATCTATGAATCTCATCATGTTACTCCCCCATTTACATCACTTCTCCTTGCCTCAGGGATTAAGTCCAAACTCCTTAACAGCCCCTGCTCTGCCCTGCCTTGCAAGGCAGCCTCACTGCTTGCCCCTCTCCATTTCATCTGCTATGGAGTCCAACTGAGCCTCATCTGCCCCTTGAACGCACACTCTTTCTCCTCTGGGAGTCTCTGAAGTGGGTAATATCCTCTGCTTATAATATGCTTCCCCTTAAACCTCTACTCTCTTCCTAGCTAGCTTTGACTCCTCTGTCACTTGTCCGCTTTGGCATCACCTCCTCATAGAAGACTTCTATGACTCCCGAGATTCTCAGGAGCATGGCAGGTGAAGTGCTCCTCCCATGAATGGATGGAGATTAGGGAGTGTGTGTTATTCATGCTTAATTCACCAGTGCTTAGCTGAGTACCTGGCATAAAATAGTTACTGTGGTGGCCAAAGTAATAACCCCCACCGCCACCAATTGCTCATGTCCTATGTTACACAGCACAGTTACAGAGGAAGGGGGAATTAAGAGTGCAGATAAAATTAATGTTGCTCATCAGCTGACCTTAAAACAAGATTATCCTGGAGTATCTAGGAGAGCCCATGTAATTACAAGCATTCTTTAAAACTGGAAGAGGGAGGCAGAAGGTTAAGAACCAGAGACGGTGGGCACAATGGCTCATGCCTGTAATACCAATACTTTGGGAGGCCAGGGTAGGAAAATCCCTTGAGTGCAGGAGTTCAAGGTCAGCCATGGCAACATACTGAGGTCCCATCTCTACAACAAAATAAAAACAAAATTCACTGAGTGTCACGATGCTTACCTGTAGTCCCAGCTACTGGGAAGGCTGACATGGTAGGATTGCTTGAGCCTGGGAGTTTGAGGCTATAATGAGCCATGATAGGACCACTGAACTCCATCCTGAGTGACAGGGCAAGGTCCTGTTTCTGAAGAAAAAAAGGACATTGGAATCAGGGCCCTCTCCATCCTGAGGTGCCTACAAGGCATCTCTCTCTGCAAACGAGTAAACATCACCCTCCAACTCCTTACAGAGTGGAGCAACAGGAAAACTCCTTCACCTCATTTCTGTGCTGCTTGGGAGGCCTGGACAGCCCAATAACCAGCTCCTCGCTGATGAAGCAATCAGGAAATGGCTCGAGTTGAGCTAAGGAGAATTTGGATCCTTCCTTTGGTTCTCAGTAGGCAGGGTAGGGGCCAGGCATGGTGGCTCATACCTGTAATCCTTGCACTGTGGGGGGCCAAGGTGAGAGGATTGCTTGAGGCCAGGAGCTCAAGACCAGCCTGGACAACATAGCAAGACCTGGGTGGCACACACCTGTGGTCCCTACTACTTGGTAGGATGAGGTGGGAGGATTGATCACTTGATCCCAGGAGTTTCAGGCTGCAGTGAGCCATGATCACACCACTGCACTTCAGCCTGGGTGACAGAGCCAGACCATGTCACAAAAAGTTAGAAAAAAAAAAGAGAGAGGGAGAGAGACTATACACAGGCACCACCACATTTGGCTAATTTTTAAATATTCTGTAGAGACAAGGTCTTGCTAGGTTGCCCAGGCTAGTCTAAAACTCCTGGCATCAGGCTGGGCATGGTGGCTCATGCTTGTAATCGCAGCACTTTGGGAAGCTAAGGCAGGCAAATCACCTGAAGTCTGGAGTTCGAGACCAGCCTGGCCAACACGGTGAAACTCTGACTCTATCAAAAATACAAAAATCAGCTGGGCAGTAGTGGCGTGTGCCTGTAGTCTCACCTACTCGGGAGGCTGAGGCAGGAGAATCACTTGAACCTGGGAGGTGGAGGTTGCAGTGGACCCCATCACTGCACTCCACCCTGGGTGACAGAGCGAGACTGTCAACAACAACAACAACAACAAAAACAAAAACAACAACAACAAAAAAAACTCCTGGCATCAAGACATCTTCCTGTCTTAGCCTCCCAAAGCCCTGGGATTATACTGTTTCCTATAATTGAAGACACTTGTTCTTATACTGCTTTAAGGTATAAAGGAAGAAAAAAAAAACAGATAATGGCAAATGTTGGTGAAGGCCGGGCATGGTGGCAGCCTGTAATTCCAGAACTTAGGGAGGCTGAGGTGGGCAGATCACTTGAGGCCAGGAGTATGAGACCAGCCTGGGCAACATGGTAAAATCCCACCACTACAGAAAAATATAAAAATTAGCCAGGCATGGTGGCGTACACCTGTAATTTTCAGCTACCCAGGAGGCTGAGATGAGAGAATCACTTGTGCCTGGGAGGTCACGGCTGCAGTGAACTGTGATGGCATCATTGCACTGCGGCCTGAGAGACAGAGCAAGCCCCTATCTAGAAAAAAAAATGTCAGTGAAGATGTGGAGGAATTGGAACCCACATACATTACTGGTGGGAACATAAAATTGTGTAACCATTTTGTTTGGGTATTTCTTTTCTTGTCATTTTAATTGGATTTTTAAAAAATCAAGACGGGGTTTCACTATCTTGCCCAGGCTGGTCTTGAATTCACGGGCTCAAGCCATCCTCCTAGCTGAGCCTCCTGAGTAGCTGGGATTACAGGTGTGAGCCATTGCACCCAACTGGTATAGCCACGTTAGAAAACATTCTGGCAGTTTCTCAAAAGGCTAAATGTACAGTCATCCTATAATGCAACAATTTCACTCCTAGGCATATATCCCAGAAAAATAAAAATATATGTCCACACAAAAACTTGTACAACAATCTTCATAGCAGCATTATTCATAATGACCAATACATGGAATACATGGAAACAACCCAAATATCCACCAACTGATGAACAGATAAACAAAATGCAGTGTGTCTCTACCATGGAATACTGCCATAGAAGGAATGAAATATTGATACACACTATGACATAAAGGAACTTTGAAAACACTGTGCTAAGAGGGAAAAAAAGCCACAAAAGATCACATATTGTACAATTCTATTTGTCCAGATTAGGCAAATCTATAGTGACAAAAAAATTAATCAATGGTTGCCTAAGGCTGGGGGCAAAGGTAGGTGGGGAGAGTAGGAGGTAGTGGCTAAGGGGTATGGATTTCTCTATAGGGTAATGAAAGGTTCTAAAAGTGACTGTGGTGATCGATGCACAGCTCTGTGAATATTCTAAAACCTACTGAATTGCAGATTTCAATAAATAAAGTGAATGGTATGTGAATATTTTAATAAAGCTATTATTTAAAATAATAATAATAGGGGGCTGGGCACAGGTGGTCATGCCTGCCTGTAATCCCAGCACTTTGGGAGGCTGAGGCAGGAGGATCACTTGAGGTCAGGAGTTTTGAGCCCAGTCGGAGCAACATGGCAAGATCCCGTCTCTATGATAAAAAATTACCTGGACATGGTGGCACATGTCTGTAGTCCCAGCTACTTGGGAGACTGAAGTGAGAGAACCACTTGAGCCCAGGAGTTTGAGGCTACAGTGAACCATGATCATGTCACTGTACTGTAGCCTAAGCAACAGAGCAAGACGCTGTCTCTGAAAAGGAAAGAAAACAAATGCAAGTTTTTATCACTTTGTGAGTGTAGCCAAGTTGGAGGAGAAATAGACAATAATAAAAGAGCACTGAATAATGACAGTGAGTGGCTGGTTAGGCTCAGTTGCTAGCTAAATGGCTTCTAAAAAATTCAATAAAGTTACAGCTCTGGGGACAGTCATGTAGTCAAAGAATGAAGGCGAAATTCATTACAATTGCCCATGGTCTTTATTTACATGCCTTCTAGTGAAAAATTCCTAAGTGCCTAAACAGCAAGTCTGCAATGATAGCAGCTGTTTATTAAAGACTACAAAAAAGAAATGGAGGCCGGGCGTGGTTGTTCACATCTGTACTCCTTGAATTTTGGGAGGCTGAGGCAGGCAGATTGCCTGAGGTCAGGAGCTCCAGAGGAGCCTGGCCAACATGGTGAAATCCCATCTCTACTAAAAATACAAAAATTAGCTGGGTATGGTGGCGGGCACCTGTAATCCCAGCTACTCGGGAGGCTGAGGCAGGAGAATTGCTTGAACCCAGAAGGTGAAGGTTGCAGTGAGCCAAAATCGCACCATTGCACTCCAGCCTGGGTGACAAGAGAAAGACTCTTATCTTAAAAAAAAAAAGAAAAAAAAGAAATGGCATCTTCTTCAAGAATTACATCGTGTTTCATGATAAAGAAGCTCTAATTTTGCATTTGTTCAAGTATTGATGAGATTTACCCAATATGACACCCATCTTGGATAAAATGCAAACAACACAATTTCATTTTCTCATTAACAAAACCGATTAAGTAGTCTAATATAAATTGCGATCTTATTAAAAACTGATCCGATTTAAAAAATTATGGAATTATGGAGCCAATAAGATGTTACAACCTGTTCCAAGGGAAATTCCAAAATCCACACATATCTGAGACCATCAAGTATGATGAAATATATTTGATTACTATATTGAAAAATAAACTGATTACATAGCCAACAATTGGACAGGGGTCTCCTCATCCACAGCCACACAAACCCGATCATGCAGCTGTATGGTTACAAGGCCTACATAGCCTAGAAGGGACTGGTCTGACTTGAGATTTCATTTGTATTTGTATTTTGAGACAGGGTCCCACTCTGTCACCCAGGATGGAGTGCAGTGGTATAATCATAGCTCACTGCAACCTTGACCAACTGGGCTCAAGAGATGCTCCTGCCTCAGCTGCCCCCATACCTGGGAATACAGGCAAGTACCACCATGTCAGGCATTTTTTTCATTTTTGTAGAGAGAGAAGACTTGCTATGTTGCCCAAGCTGGCCTCAAACTCCTAGAATCAAGAGATCTGCCCATCTCAGCCACATGAGTAACTGGGGCCATAGGTACATACCATCATGCCTGGCTATATTTATTTTCTTTTATTAAATTTATTTTTTTTATTTTTGTAGAGAGGAGGTCTTGCTGTGTTGCCCAGGCTGCTCTCAAACTCATGGCCTTAAAACATACTCCCATCTCTGCCTCTCAAACTGTTGGAACTATAGGTGTGAGCCACTGTACCTGGCCTGACTTGGGATTTCTTTTATCTAGCATCCTTTACTTGGTAGGATTGGGAAAAGCAGTAGTGTTTTTTAAAATTACTTAATAATTCAATCAGAATCAAACTCAACCTTGACCACTGCCTTCTCTCACAGCTCACATCCAGTCTGTCAGGAAATCCTACTGACTGACTTCAACATGTATCCAGGCTCTAACCATCTCTCACCACCACCATGAACCCCGTCAGGATCACTATCATCTCCCACCGGGATGTTGCCACAGCTTGGCTCCCATGCTTCTACCCAAATCTTCCCATAGTCTTTCTCAACTCGGCAGCCAGGTCGTGCTTTTAAATCAGGAGACGGATCATGTCGCCTCTCTGCTCAGAAGCCCTCGGTGGTTCCCATTTTAGTCAGAGCAAAAGCCAAAGCCCCAGCAATAGCGTCCCAGGGCTTACACGATCTGTACCGATCCCAGCCCAGCAACTCCCTGGCCTCCTCGCTGACTTCGCTCCATCTCTTTGCTCCACTGGCCTCCTTCCAGAGCCTCAGACACACCAGAGAGTTTCCTCCTAATGCCTTTATCCTGTTGACTCAGCCTACAATGCTCTTCCCTCAGCACCTTGGCCAGCTCCATCACCTGCTTCAAACTTTTGCTCAATATTCACTTATGAGGCCAACCCTGACCACTCTACTTAACACTGCCATCTGTCCCCATTCCCACCATGCTCATTTCTTTCTTTCTTTTTGAAACAAGATCTTGCTTTATTGCCCAGGCTGGAGTACACTGGTGCAATCACAGCTCACAGCAACTTCAACCTCCCAGGCTTAAACAATCCTCCCGCCTCAGCCACCCTAGGAACTGAGACTACAGCTGCATGCCACAACACATGGCTTTTATTTTTTTTTTTTTGAGACGGAGTCTCGGTCGCCCAGGCTGAAGTGTAAGGGTGCGATCTTGGCTCACTGCAATGTCTGCCTTTTGGGTTCAAGTGATTCTCTGCCTCCCAAGTAGCTGGGATTACAGGCACCCACCACCACACCTGGCTAATGTTTGTATTTTTAGTAGAGATGGGGTTTCACCATCTTGGCTAGGCTGGTCTTGAACTTCTGACCTCGTGATCCACCCTCCTCGGCCTCCCAAAGTGCTGGGATTACAGGCGTGAGCCACTGCGCCTGGCCTTTAAAAAAATATTTTTTTTAGACATGAGGTCTCATTATGTTGCCCAGGCTGGTCTTAAGCTCCTGGGCTTAAGCGATCCTCCCACCTCAGCCTCCTAAAGTTCTGGGATTACAGGCGTGAGCAACTGTAACATGAGGTCCCAGCTTCGTGTTCATTTTTTGTTGTTGCTACAACAAAGTACCCTACATTTAGTGGCATCAAACACCACAAATCTACCATCTTACAGTTCTGGGGGCCAGAAGCCCAACTAGGTCTATTAAGGCTAAAGTCAAGGTGTCAGAGAGGCTGCATTCCTTCTGGGGGAGGCTCTAGACAGAATGTGCTCCTTTGCCTTTTCCAGCTTCTAGAAGCCACCCCCATTCCTTGACTTACCTCGTGACTCCATATTCAAGGCCAGAAGTGCAGCATCTTCAAATCTCCCTCTCTGACCTCTTCTTCCATTACCACATCACTTTCTCTAATTCTGACTCTCCTACCTCATTCTCTTATAAAGATCCTTGTGATTGGTGGGTATGGGGGCTCCCATCTGTAATCCCAACATTTTGGGAGGCCAAAGAGGAAGGATTGCTTGAGGCCAAGAGTTAGAGATCAGCCTGGGGAAAATAGGAAGATCCTGCCTTTACAAAATTAAAATCAGCTGGACATGGTGATGCATGCCTGTAGTTCCAGCTACTGGAGAGGCTAAGGTGGGAGGATTGCTTTAGCCTAGGAGGTCAAGGCTGCAGTGAGCTATGATCACATCACTGCACTCCAGCCTCAGTGGCAGAGTGAGACTCTGTCTCCGATATAAGAAAAGAAATATACATTTGGTCTCTGCCCCTGGTTCCTGGCATAGAGCTTCCAAAGCTCTTATAAAGCCCTTCGTGACAGAGGTAATAGGAGCATTTTCTGTTTTGATATTTAGTCTTAGTCCCAGGTTCCTGACACAAGGGCCTCTAAGGTCTTTCAGATCTGCAGCATGGTAAGAATGCATGTGGGATGCTGTTGAGCTAACGGGGTGGCTGCAAGCTCCGAGACTGCTTCAGGAGGAGGGCTAGCTGCCAGAGAAAGCAACCACATTTTTTTTTTAAAACAGAGTTTGGCTCTTGTAGCCCAGGCTGGAGTGCAATGGCACAATCTCAGCTCGCTACAACCTCCACCTCCCGGGTTCAAGCAATTCTCCTGCCTCGGCCTCCCGAGTAGCTGGAATTATAGGGGTGTGCCACAATGCCTAGCTAACTGTTGTTATTTTTAGTAGAAACGGGGTTTCACCATGTTGGTCAGGCTGGTCTCAAACTCTTGACCTCAAGTGGTCCATGTGCCTCAGCCTTCCAAACTGCTAGGATTACAGGAGTGAGCCACCGCACCTGGCCCCAACCACATTTTTTGAGGCTTGGAACTTTCAGCCTCACCTGCTGAACTCCAGGAGGCAAAAGGAACTGGAGATTGACTTAACTACCAATGGCCAGTGATTTTATCAATCATGCCTCCATAAACACCCAAACAGCAGGGTTTGGAGAGCTTCTGTGTTGCTAAACACAAGGAGGTCCTGGGAGGGTAGTGTGCCCAACAGAGGGCATGGAAGCTCTGTGCCCCTCCCCACTTACCTTGTCCTGTGCATCTCTTTCATTGGCTGTTCCTGAGATGGAGCCATTACATTGAGCCAGTAATAGAAAATAAGGTGGCCAGATGCACTGGCTCATGCCCGTAATCCCAGCACTTTGGGAGGCAGAGGTGGGCGGAATCACTTGAGCCTAGGAATTTGAGACCAACCTGGGCAACATAAGAAGACCCCATCTATACAAAAAATAAAAGAAATTAGCCAAATGTGGTGGTGGGAACCCTGTAATTCCAGCTACTTGAGAGGCTGAAGCAGGAGAATCACTTGAGCCCTGGATGTTGAGGCTTCAATAAGCTATGATTGCACCACTGCACACCAGCTTGGACAACAGAGCGAGGCCCTGTCTCTTAAAAAGAAAAGAAAAAAAACTTGTTTTTCTAAGTTCTGTGAGTTGTTCTAGTAAATAATTAAACTCAACAAGAGGGTCATGGGAAACCCTGATTTCTAACTGGTTGGTCAAAATACAGGTGACAACCTAGGACTTGCAACTGGCATCTGAAGTGAGGGTGGTCTTGTGGGACTGAGCCCCTAACCTGTGGGTTCTGTGCTAACTCTAGGTAGTGTCAGAATGGAATTGTGGGATACGCGGTTGGCATCCAGAGAGTTGGAGAACTGGTGTAGAAACTCTGCACACACATTTGGTCAGAAGTCTGTGAGTAGAGAGAAACGTGTTGCAGGAAGTCAGGGACCCCAAACGGAGGGACTGGCTGAAGCCACAGCAGAAGAATATAAATTGTGAAGATTTCATGGACATTTATTAGTTCCCCAAATTAATACTTCTATAATTTCTTAGGCCTGTCATTACTGCAATCTCTGAACATAAATTGTGAAGATTTCATGGACACTTATCACTTCCCCAATCAATACCCTTGTGATTTTCTATGCCTGTCTTTAATCTCTTAATCCGCTCATCTTCGTAAGCTGAGGATGAATGTCCCCGCAGGACCCTGTGATAATTGCGTTAACTGCACAAGTTGTTTAAACAATATGAAACCTGGGCACCTTGAAAAAAGAACAGGATAACAGCAATTTCAGGGAACAAGGGAGATAACCTTAAACTCTGGCTGCCTGTGGGCCGGGTTGAACAGAGCCATATTTCTCTTCTTTCAAAAGCAAATAGGAGAAGTATTGCTGAATTCTTTTTCTCAGCAAAGAACATCCCTGAGAAAGAGAATGCATCCCTAAGGGGAGGCCTCTGAAATGGCCGCTTTGGGGACGGCTGTCTTTTACAGTCATAGATAAGGGATGAAATAAGCCCTGGGTTCGCGTGGCGCTCCCAGGCTTATCAGGACAAGGAAATTCCCGCCTAATAAATGTTGGTCAGATGGGTTGTCTGCTCTCAAACCCTTTCTCCTGATAAGATGTTATCAATGACAATGCGCGCCCGAAACTTCATTAGCAATTTTAATTTCGCCCCAGTCCTGTGGTCCTGTGATCTTGCCCTGCCTCCATTTGCCTTGTGATATTTTATTACCTTGTGAAGCATGTGATCTCTGTGACCCACACCCTATTCGTACACTCCCTCACCTTTTGAAAATCACTAATAAAAACTTGTTGGTTTTGCGGCTTGGGGGGCATCACGGAACCTGCCGACGTGTGATGTCTCCCCTGGACATCCAGCTTTAAAATTTCTCTCTTTTGTACTCTTTCCCTTTATTTCTCAGACTGGCTGACACTCAGGGAAAATAGAAAAGAACCTACATGAAATATCAGGGGTGAATTTCCCCCGATATCACACTGGCTCTTCTCTCACCTGTCTACCTGCTTAACTTAATAGGAGAGGCAATGCATGGTGCTCATGAACAAGGCAAGCATTAAAGTCAGACCAGACTAACATTTGACTCAGTCCTAATATTCAGGTGAGCTTGGGCAAATCGCTCATTAACCCCAAGTCTTCATCATTTTGTGCATATAATGGGGATAACTGTGGCACCCACCTGTTTTTGTGAGAATCAATGAAATATTATGCTTGATGTTATTGTGATCATGATACTATCTGACAAGGGCAGTGATGCATGATAACATCAAAAAATTAGAAACTGTAATGAGGTCTCTTGGGCAAAATTCCATACAGGCAAATTACTGTCTCTACAAAGCATTTCTGCCACACTTAATTCACCATACCCTGAACAAAATGTGCCATCTTCATTGTTCAGGTCTGTATAGTGCTGGTTTCCCTGCCTGGGCAGCTCACTCCATCCCATCCCAGCCCAATCCCCATCCCTCCACCTCCCCCTTCCCTCCCCACTCTCATACAACTCTTCCTTATCTTACAGGACTTGGCTTCAATGTCACCTTAACTGGAAGCTTCTCTCCCTCTCCAGAAGAGCTTCCGATTGCACTTGATGCATGCACTATTATTTGATCATTTTTGAGTTACAGTCCAAGTCTTTTTGTACCTGAATAACATGTTGCCCAGTCAGTTTCTCTTCCTGGATTCAGAAGTCTTTCATGGTAGGTCCAGCTAGAAGTGACAAAAAGACATTTAAAAAAAAAAAAAAAGAGGGATGACACAGACAGACATCAGCACTTAAAAGTTTTAAACGATATGTGAAAAACAAAATTTAAGGGCTTCTAGGAGAAATGTAGGAGGGAAGGTGTTACTGGGAAATATGATAGAAGGTTAATTTTTATTTTATTTTATTTTTAGAGAAAGGGTCTTGCTCTATCACCTAGGCTGGACTGCAGTGGTGCAATCACAGTTAACTGCAGCCTCAACCTCCAGGGCTTGAGCAATATTCCCATCTAATTTTTATTTTGTTTAAGAAATGCAGTCTTGCTCTTAGCAAAGCTAAAGTGCAATGGTGTGATCATAGCTTACTGCAGCCTCAACCTTCTAGACTCAAGTGATCCTCCAGTCTTAGCCTCCCCAGTAGCTCGGACTACAGGTGTGCACTGCAACGTGTAGCTCATTTTTTTTTTTTAATTTTTAGTAGAGACAAAGTGTCACTATGTTGACCAGGTTGGTGGTGATCTCCTACACTCAGGCAGTTCTCTCACCTCAGCCTTCCAAAATGCTGGGATTACAGGTGTCAGCTGCCACACCTGGCTGAGGGGGTTAATTTTTAATTATATAAAGAGCTCAAAGCAAATATTAGAAGGAGCCTAAATGCCTCCAGCAGTTGACTGGTACTGGTAAATTGTGATACATCCATATAATAAAATATTATGCAACCATGAAAAGGATTAAGATAGATCAATAGGTATTGGCACAAATGTCCACGAAATATGAAAATATGAAGTGATGTTCAATCACCATGTACGTATCTTGAAGGATATGGCCCATTTTCTCAACTGCAATTATTTCCTGAGATAAGATTATGGGTCTAAAGAGTGAAGGACATTTTTCACTTATTTAAAAGTATTTATCATTTTTATAATTTAATAAAAGATTAAACAGATCATTGAATTAGTAAAAGACAAAGTAACTCTATAAATAAATGGAAAAGACACAGATACCCCAGGCATGGTGGCTCATGCTTATAATACCAGTACTTTGGGAGGGGGTGGTGGGGGGATTGCTTGAGGCCAGGAGTTCCAGACCAGCCTAAGAAACAAAGCAAGACCTCCTCTCTAGTAAAAATAAAAAAATAAAAATAATTGGCCAGGCATAGTGGCATGTGCCTATAGTCCCAACTACTGAGGTGGAAGGATCACCTGAGCCTAGGAGGTCAAGGCTGCAGTGAGTTGAGACTGTGCCACTACACTGAAGCCTAGGAGACAGAGCGAGACTTCATCTCAAAAAAAAAAAAAAAGGACAATAAAGAAATAAAGCTAATAAGCTAACATAAGGAAAGATAAAATATGTGACAAATAGGCTGGGCACATGGCTCACAGCTGTAATCAAGCACTTTGGGAGGCCAAGGCGGGTAGATCACGAGATCAGGAGTTCGAGACCAGCCTGATCAACATGGTGAAACCACGTTTCTACTAAAAATACAAAAATTAACCAGGCATGGTGGCATATGCCTGTAATCCCAGCTACTCAGGAGGCTGAGGCAGGAGAATCGCTTGAACCTGGGAGGCACAGGTTGCAGTGAGCCGAGATCACACCACTGCACTCCAGCCTGGTCGACAGAGCGAGACTGTGTCTCAAAAAAGAAAAAAGAATGGGTGACAAAGTAATAATAGGAGGTCTTTCATTTATCACACAGAAAATAACTTGTTAAATTATAATACCTGTGTGGGCGAAGGTGCAGTGAAATGGCCATTTTCTTGTAGTATTAGTGGTGTTTAAAATGTATATAAGCCTTCCAGCATAAAGCTTGGAAATTTTTTTTAAATCATACAGACAGTGACTCATTATACTGCCTCCTCCAACTCCTGGCCTCAAGCAATCCTCCCACCTCAGCCTCCCAAAGTGCTGGAATTACAGGCTGACAGCCACCATGCCTGAAAGCTTTGCAATTTACATCGAGGGTAATAAGAATGCTCATGCCCTGTGACTCACAGTAATCTCACTTCTGGAAATTTCACCTTTGGATATAATTCAACCTAAACAAAAGGTCATATGCACAAACACAGTGAAAATCTGGGAGTAATTTTTTTCTCTTTTTTTAAAAAAATATGGAATGCTTCACAAATTTGCATGTCATTCTTTCACAGAGGCCGTGCCAATCTCTCTATTGTTCCAACTTAAGTATGTGTGCTACTGAGGCAAGCATGAGTAATTTAAGATAGAGTGGTTAAGTGAAATAAGGAAGAATTATGGAGAATTTAAAAATCTATGCTATTTATAGGCACCTAGTAACAGCTCAGTAAATATTAGCTGCTACTATTATTATTTTTATGGTAATTTCACTCAATTAAAAACTGTCGTTAAAAATTACCATTGTCATGGAACATAATGTCTCCTACTGTATAATTGTAGAAACAGATACAATTTGTCCCTTGGTATATGGGGGGATTAGTTCCAGCTCTCCCATTTCTGTGTATACCAAAATCCACGCATACTCAAGTTTTCGAAGTCAGTCCTGTGGAATCCACATATAACACAAATGGGAAAATTAGTGAGGTGTGGTGACAAGCACCTGTAGTCCCAGCTACTTGTGAGGCTGAGGCAGGAGGATTGCTTGAGCCCAGGAGGTTGAGGCTGCAGTGAGCCATAATTGCACCACTGCACTCCAGTCTGGGCAACAGAGTGAGACAGAAGGTTGACTTTTTAATAGAATTTTTCTGTTCACTTGAAGATATGGTCAGGATTGTGGCATATGAAAATTCTTCATAAAATAACTATCTAATCCAATTAATGCTGGAATTGGGAACAGCAGAAGTGTCATCTCAGAGCTACTCACAATGAAAGGTGATGTCTGGGGCTCAGGTGTGTTGAGGTCCCCATGCCTGGACTATGGGTGCTGAGTGGGATTTACTTGTCCATCCATTTTCTATATTCCAGCACTGGGAAACTAGGGACAGTACTTGTTCTCAAGGGAATCTTCAGCTTAGGTGGCTCTGTAAAAGAGAAATTACATCATTGAAAAATCGTCGCAGGTCAGGTGAGGTGGCTCATACCTATAATCCCAGCCCACTGGGAGACTAAGGCAGGAGGATTCCGTGAGGCCAGGAGTTCAAGACCAGCCTGAGCAACACAGTGAAACCTCATCTCTACAAAAAATTAGAAAATGAACTGGGTGCGGTAAAACATTCGTATAGTCCCAGCTACTCTGGAGGCTGAAATAGGAGGATCGCTTGAGCCCAGGAAGTGGAAGCTGCAGTGAGCTCTGATCTCACCACTGCACTCTAGCCTTGGTGACAGAGTGAGACCCTGTCTCAAGACACACACAAACACACACACACACACACACACCCAATCTCACTCTGTCCAGCCTTGACTAATCAAAAGGGCCTTCTGGTTACAGAAGAGGTATGCTCTTTTGTAGGACAGGGAGAGACCAGCAAGCTTGTTCACAGACTTTTCCTCATCCTCTGCTTAGTTTTCCAAGAACCCTCACAGTGGAAATGGAGTCTCTGGGAAAATGACCTAAATCTTTGGGTTACCAGGGGAGAAATATGCCTCCTTTGTCAATTAATAAATGGAACATCTGCCTTAAAATCCAGGGAGTTCTGCTAGAATGAATCACTCCCTAAGACCCTGACCAATGCATGGAACATGAAAAACTGAAGTTTAACTGGGCGCGGTGGATCACGCCTGTAATCCCAGCACTTTGGGAGGCTGAGGCGGGCGGATCACCTGAGGTCAAAAGTTCTAGATCAGCCTGGCCAACATGGTGAAACCCCGTCTCTACTAAAAATACAAAAATTAGTTGGGCATGGTGGTGGACACCTGTAATCCCAGCTACTTGGGAGGCTGAGGCAGGAAAATCGCTTGAACCCGGAAGGCGGAGGTTGCAGTTACTTCTAGAAGAATTTCCATTAGCCCTTTGAAATCCTTCAACATTCATGAAGGCCAAAGAGTTTTCACCTAATTTAATCTGATGGGTATGTGACCAGAGTCTTTCTAGGGAATAGAGACTCCCAAACAGTTCGACTGGGAAGTGAGGAGAGAATTTATTACTCAAAACCAAAGGGAAATGAAAAGAGGCCAACATAGAATGTCATTATTCTTTCTTGGCGGGGAATGGATTCCAGAGTCATTCTGTGACCTTTACATGACCTCCTTATTAGCATCTAAAAGCTTCCAGTGTAGGATGCAGCCAGCTAGGTTCTCTTCTAATGTAATAAAATTTGCTTCGGCAAATCTTATGCAGAGCCATCTCCAGGCTCCAGAAACAATAGGCTATAAATTACTGGATCTCCCATTTGATACAATGAAGTATGAGCATGGTCCTGAATGACTCCTCTACATACTACTCTGGGTGGCTTGAAGTGAATTTGATACAAGAACTGGAGCGAGGGCAAAGCAGAGCTAGATCTAGGATTAATGTGCTTGGGCCCAGCTCCTCACTACTCACCTATGAGTCTAGTTCCAGAACCCAAGTAGAGGATGGGGAAACAAGGCTCCTGACTTTTTTTCCCTAATGTCTGCATCTCTTTCACATTTCTTATCTCCTTGCAAAGAAACTAAACAGGCTCAACTGAAATAACTAAATGATTAAACCCTATACAGAGACTCTCCAAAGACTGACAAAATATCATTCAAGACTGTTACACAGACAACCTTGAGGATGACTTGATGTACCAGTGATCTACAATATTTGGGATCATTCCAAATTCCCATCAAGGATCTGCCTATATCAACAAAGGAGCCAAGGACCAACCATTCAAATGGGCCATGCTGCCAAGCCTTTTTTTTTTTTTTTTTAACAATGCCATCTCTTCATATTGTTCCATTTAACAAAACTGCAGCCCTTCATCTATCCTTAAGTCCCTTGGCCAATGGTACAGGGCCAGAGTATGCTACTCCCTAGCAGGAAATCAACAGGATGACCTACTAAACACCATTCAGAAGATGCTAAGACCCATGAATTGCAACAGGAAAGAAAAGACAGAGAATTAGTCAGACAGGTACATGCTGTGCCAAAAATGCACTACAGCCCCCACCCAATTCTGCCTAATCCTAGCTGGGCTGACACCAACCTGATGAGACAGGCCTATAAGATCTCAAACTAAAACAGAAACTCCTGAACTGGGTTCTTTCGAGCCCAGGAAGCAGCAGTAAATCATTAAAGAACAGATAAGTTCTTAAGGTGAGGGAGAGTTTCAGATAAATGGAATGCTGGTAGAACACAGGGCCCAAAGGAGCAAAAGTTAACCTAAGCCCAGGTAGAACCTTGTTTACTAGAGTATTAGGCATGGGTTTGGGCAACTATTCTAACCAGAGAAACTGGCTTCAGTGAGGGCAAGTTGGCAATCCAAGGTATAGCATGCATAGGGCTGGCAAAATTCAGGGTGACTGAAGCAAAAGCTTCATAACCAGAAAGACCACATCTGGGGGTAGAGCACAAAACTCTCAAGAGATGAATCTTTGTAAGAGTGAGGCAGAACTATATAGCAGTTTTAGGAGATCTGTTGGTGCCCAGCAAGAGCTCCAAACGGGCTATATGCAGGGATGCAGGCTGTAGTCTCAGGAGAGGAGGTTCACAAAAGTCATTCAGTCCAAGACCTCAAACTGTGTTCTCTACTAAAAGGAATCAAGGTTCCCTAGAGAAATGGCTGACTCCATGTATGGTGCAGTATATTGATCCTGGAACATCTGTTTTGCCAGAAAGCAAGGAAGCCATCAAAGTCCAACAGGATCACGTCAAAAAGACATGAAAGTCAACTTGAAGAGATAATTATTAACCTAGATGAGACAATGTAAGCATCCAAAACAATAAAGACTGCAATGGCCTGAAATACATCAAATGCAAACAATAATCTATGAGTTCATAATGGTATTCAGAAAAAAAAACTACTGGTCATTAGAGGGAAGGTTACTAGGTCACTAACTTACTACTCTGAAAAGTGACTTAAGATGAGAGGTAGGGTGGAGAATTAGCTATTTATTCAGTCTTTCCTGTACAAACATAAATTTTTAGGGAGATTGAAGCAGATGAAACAAATCTGGAAAAATGGAGGTAACTGCTTAATCTGCGGGTTGGGTGCATGGAGGTTCAACATATTTCTTTTGTGTATATTTGAACCCCCTACAAAAAAAGCACAAGACAGAATGTGAGCCAAGCAGCTTAGGGTTTAGGCAAGGCTTCTGCCTACAAGAGACACTAGGATATGAGGGGTAGTTTTAGCCCTAATGGGCTGAGCCAACTGGAGGTATATAGGGAAGTGCTAAATTGCAGAGGTATCATGTTGCCCAGCACTTGATCAAATCCTAGATCCTAGGTCTGCTTGGTGGCATGCTTCCTAGGTAGTGGATCTGAGGCTACCTATAGAACTTCCTTTGCAGTCATAGTTCGCTCAGAAACTACAAAAGTGCTTGCTCTTGAAAATGGAGTCTTTGTCCATTTCATGCTTCTATAAAAGAATACCACAGACTGCATAATTTATAAAAAGGAAAAAAGGAAGGAAAGAAAAAAGGAAGGGAGGAGGGAAGGAGGGAAAAAGGGAAGGAGGGAAGGAAAGGAAGGAAGGGAAAGAAGGAAAGGAAGGAAGGGAAAGAGAGAAAGAGGGAAGGAGGAAGGGAGGGAAGGAGGGAGGGAGGGAGAGAGAGAGGGAGGGAGGGGAAGGGAAGAAAAGGGAAGAGAAGGGAAAGGAGGAAGAAAAGGAAAGGAAAGGAATAAATTTTATTTCTTAACAGTTCTGGATGTTAGGAAGTCCAAGGTTGAGGGGCCTGCATCTGGTAAGGGTCTTCTTGCTGCATCATCCCACTACAGAAGGCAGAAGGAAAAGAGAGTGCAAGAAAGCAAGAGGGCAAAAGGGGCTGAACTCTGTTTTATAATAAGCCCACTCTGTGATTACTAATCTATTACCACAATAACAACATTAACTCATTCATGAAGGCTATTTTATTAGGCCCCACATCCCAACTGTTGCATTGAGGATTGAGTTTCCAGCACATAAACTTTGGGGGACACATTTAAACCATAGCAGAGCACTTAGGTTAATTCAACTAAGAGGAGCTGGGAAAATCAAAGGCATGAGAAAGACAGCAAAAGCTAGCAGAGAGAAATGCATAGGTTAAGGAAAAAAGTCACAGTGAATCCTGTAGTGCAGGCTACTTTATCAAAAGCACCTAAAAAAGATCTCATTAACTCCCCCAGCTCACCTCCACGCACATCTAAAGAGCCACACACAGCACCACCAAAGGCAGCACAATGAGAACAGCATTCTCCTCAACAGACAAGCTGGGAGTATCTAGACACCTGACCTCAATAGCTCCAGAACAGCCCTAAAACATTTCCTCCCTAACCACCACTCAAGTCACCAGCTTGGAAAGTATTAAGAAAACCCAAATCCTGACACACCACTATGAAACAACTTAAAACAGCAAAGAACAACCCATTTAAACAGCAATGCCAGCTGTTGGGAAAAAAAGGAACAATGAGTAGAGGAGAAACAGACCTCTCGGGGTCCACCAAGACCCAGTCTCTCAGCTTCAGCACTTTTAAATGCAGAATCCATACCCCTCTGGGGCCTGTGGAGCTCCACAAGGCATGTCGTCCTCAAAGATAAATGAGCAGGCAAGCTGGCTAGAAAACCACTAAGGGTATTTATTCTTTAAAGAATCTTTATAGGGTCAAAGAAGAATGGGTCCTAACTGGCTATGTGAACTCCCCACAGATTCTGAGGATGATGTCAGTATCCCTTTCCAGATGTGTTTAACACTTTGCAGTCACTTGTATTCCTGCCACTGAGTGCCAGTGCTTTGCTAATTTGAACTGATTCCAGCTCACGCTGACCCCAGCTCCCTGGATGTTACCATTAGCCAAGACTGACACCCATACTGTACCCTTTCAAAGAGTCCTAAAAACAGCTCTTCACCTACTCTTCCAAGACAAGTAAAAATGACTGCCAAAGAAATGGGGAAAAAAGATTCAGAGAGTGAAAACAATTAATATACTAACAAGAGAGCAAAAAGCAAAGGGGGAGGAGAAACTAGGAAAATCATATATGGGCTCTCACCTATTTCCAAAGCTGGGCTAATGTCCTTTTGCTTGTGTCTGAATAAGGCACCAATTTTAAGCTGCTAATGAAAAAAAAAGAAAAAGAGAAAGAAGCAGGCCCAGGCTGGGCGCAGTGGCTCATGCCTGTAATCCCAGCACTTTGGGAGGCCGAGGCGGGTGGATCACCCAAGGTCAGGAGTTCTAGACCAGCCTGGTCAACATGGTGAAACACCATCTCTACTAAAAATACAAAAAATTAGCCAAGCATGGTGGCGCATGCCTGTAAATCCAGCTACTAAGGAAGCTGAGGCAGGAGAATTGCTTGAACCTGGAAGGCAGAGAATGTGGTGACCTGAGATCACGTCATTGCCCTCAAGCCACGGCAATGAGAACAAAATTCGGTAAAAACAAAACAAAACAAAACAAAACAAAACCACCATAAAATAACTCAGACTTAATTAAATACAACCCTAGTGGTGAATGACTAAAGATGGATTACTCATAACAGAGATTGAACAGTCCAATAAGAATCCAGGAATCTTACCTTTTAATAACAAAAAAATCCTTTCCTTCTAAAGTAACATCCTCTCAAGGCCAGGAATTCCATTAGTAGAAAGCCTTCCTAAAAAACAAAATTCCTGGCCAGGCATGGGTTCACGTCTGTAATCTCAGCACTCTGGGAGGCCGAGGCGGGAAGATCACTTGATATCAGGAGTCGAGGCGGGAAGATCACTTGACGTCAGGAGTTCGAGACTGGCCCAGCCAACATGGTGAAACCGCATCTCCACTAAAAATACAAAAATTAGCCTGGTGTGGTGGTGGGCACCTGTAATCCCAGTGACTTGGGAGGCTAAGGCAGGAGAATTTCTTGAACCCAGGAGGCAGAGGTTGCAGTGACCAGCAAGGTTGCGCCATTGCACCCCAGCCTGGGCGATAAGAGTGAAAACTCCATCTCAAAAAAAAAAAAAAAAAAAAAAATTCCTTTGGGAAGGCCTTCTACATAAAAATCTTCAACATGAGACTGGAAAAAAGGGTATGGGATCATCACCGGACCTTTGGCTTTTACAGCTCGAGCTATAAGAACAAAAAGAAAAAGGGATATCATTTAAACACGGTATGTAGAAAAGAATAATTATTGAATCTGTACTGGTCTTTAACTTTTACACTTTGATCTTTAATTCTGTTATTGTGATTGAGTCCAAAGAAAAACAGTATGAGTAAAATAAAAAGAACACCAAAAATGCTAATATTCTGTTTACCGAAGTCTGTAGTGAAATATCCCATTAAATCCAAGTGCAGTGACACACCCATAATCCCAAGCACTTTGGGAGGCTGAGGCGGGTGAATCTCCTGAAGTCAGGAGTTCAAGGCCAGCCTGGCCAACATGGTGAAACCCCAACTCTACTACAAATACAAAAATTAGGCAGGCGTGGTGGCAGAGGCCTGTAATCCCAGCTACTTAGGAGGCTGAGGCAGGGAGAATTGCTTGAACCCAGGAGGTGAGCTTGCCATGAGCTGAGATCATACCACTGCACTCCAGCGTGGGTGACAGAACAAAACTTCAACCTCCAAAAAAAAAAAAAAAAAAAAAAAAAAAAAACAGCTAGCAGGTGACATTTGCTATAGGGAGTAGGGAGACTAGGGATATGATCTTGCTGCAATCTTTCCATTTTAGTAAATCTAAACAAGTGTGAATCCATTCTGTTTCGTCCCCACTCCACTCCAGAGCCAAAACAAGAAAATCAATTATATTTCTAGTTCTTTAAAAACATATCTAACTAAATCATCTAATTAAAAGATAATATGCATGGTTCCATACTCTAAAAGAAAACTTATGTCCTGCATATCATGGACATTTGATGAATGCTTATTCAGTTGACTGGTGTAGACTTCAATAATAACCTGTTCAATGCATTATACCAGATGAATCTTGCATCTCAAAAGTAGAACAAATATTGTTCTTTCAGTTTTGTCTACCCATAAATGCAATATTTACTAATAAAAAGAAAATGAGTTTATTGTTCTAGAGAGTATGAGAATTTTGACAACATGAATTCTCCTGTCCTAGGACATAATTAATACTTAGAGGCATACTATTTCATGTGGAAGCTACCATTAAATCAATGTTAAGTGTTAATTACCTCACATAATCTTCTAATCTGACTTGACTGAAGACGTACCTGACAAAGTTGATTTATCAAGTTGTAAATCTTCACCTGTTGAATTCATAAGTTCATGTCTGAAAGGTGAGAATAAATACTTAATATTCATTAGGCAATATTCAGCAAAGTAATATCCACTAGTACATATTTAATATTTCATCATGAACTGCGGGTGTGAAGAGAAAAGACAGGCTGGGCACAGTGGCTCACACCTGTAATCCCAGCAGTTTGGGAGGCCGAGGCAGGCAGATCATGAGGTCAGGAGTTCGAGACCAGCCTGGCCAACATGGTAAAACCCCGTCTGTACTAAAAGTACAATAATTAGCTGGGCATGGTGGCAGGCACCTGTAATCCCAGCTACTCGGGAGGCTGAGGCAGGAGAATTGCCTGAACCCAGGAGGTGGAGGTTGCAGAAACCATTATCACGCCACTGCATTCCAGCCTGGGCAAGAGAGCAAGATTCTGTCTCCATCAATCAATCAATAAAAATATAAGGAGGAAGCATTTACTGTGTATTTATATGTCTGGTATTATGTGAAGCACTTTACTATCTTATCAAATCTTCGGGACAGATCTTCAGTTCTCATGACCACAAAAGAGGATACTAAAGCTCAGACAGGAGAAGAGACGTGGCCAGCCTGTGTCCCCAGGGCCTATGGTCTTACCACTAGGTTACAGTGTTTCCAGATATCACATGTTGTGAGATTTTTGCTTTAAAATGAACCAAAAAAAAACCAAAGGTGAAAAAGGCATAAGCTATTAAAAAGTGGGAGAAACACTAAGAGAACCTTAAGCATGTAACTAAAAATATTATGGAAATGTTATTGAATTCATTAGCAAATTTAGTGCTAGGTTTTCATTGAGGAGTAGGTTATATTACTCATGATGAAGAAAAATGTTCATTTTAAGTATATTAACATAAATACCATCAATATTGTTTATCATGCTTAAATGTTCACTTAAAGCAATTCAGTTAAAATTCTGCATATCATACAATTTTATAGTTTGCTAGTAGGTTACAAGTAAATAGTCACCCAAATAAAAACATCATGTTTTCCACTGGTTGTTGCTCTTTTTTAGGTGAGTATTTGATGTATACCAACAGAGAGAGGATAATAACAAATCGCTAATTTCTTTCATCACTATATAAAGGTGGCTTCAGGATAGAATAGTATCAGGGCAATGATGAATTTGAAATCTAACATCAATTCAGTGATGCATCAAGATAAAAGTAGAGACAACAGGGGCACCTTGGTGAGTACTGAACATTTTATTTATTTATTTATTTTGAGATGGAGTTTTGCTCTTTTTGCCCAGGCTACAGTGCAATGGTGCCAACCTCGCCTCACTGCAACCTCTGCCTCCTGGGTTCAAGCGATTCTCCTGCCTTGGCCTCCCGAATAGCTGGGATTACAGACATGCGCCACCACACCCGTCTAATTTTGTATTTTTAGTAGAGACGGGGTTTCTCCATGTTGGTCAGGCTGGTCTCGAACTCCCGACCTAGATATCTGCCTGCCTTGGCCTCCCAAAGTGCTGGGATTACAGGTGTGAGCCACCGCGCCCAGATGAATTCCAAATTTAACAAAGCAGACTAAGAGAAACAATTCATTTAAAAAAATAATATTTGGCCAGGCATGGTGGCTCACACCTATAATCCCAGCACTTTGGGAGGCTGAGGTGAGTGGATCAGGAGGTCAGCAGTTCAAGACCAGCCTAGCCAAGATCATGAAACCCCGTCTCTACTAAAAATACAAAAATCAGCCAGGCGTGGTGGCTGGTGCCTGTAATCCTAGCTGCTCGGGAGGCTGAGGCAGAGAACTGCTTGAACCCGGGAGGCGGAGGTTGCAGTGAGCCGAGATCGTGCCACTGCACTCCAGCCTGGGTGACAGAGTGAGGCTCCGTCTCAAAAAAAATAAATAAATAATTCAATGAAATTCCTAAGATCCAGGGCTTTGCAATAAATATGTAAATAAATTTCCAATCTCCATACTGAAAGTTTAAAAGAAATGCTAACTAATAACTAAAGAAATACAACTTTTCCTCAGCTTTGCAGCAATCTAGAAACAAAGTGTGTAGACACTACAAAGCACCTTACAAGGAGAAACATGTAAGGATGGCATGACTCGCCGGCAGCCCTGGGCTTGTCCACGGTACCCCCATGATGAACAGTAACTCCACTGTGTAAACGCCCATGAACATAAGATTACAAGACTTTTCCAGTTTAGACATACCATATTTTCTTTCAGACAATTCTTCAGTTTGTTTACGTAGATCAGCGATACGATGATTCCATTTCTCTGAAAACCAAGCAAAAGTTGCTTCTCAATAACACGTCCCTATGTCAGAGCAGCACTAACGTATAATGACTGATTTCATATATTTTACATTCTAACAGTCCATATCATTTTACTGCTTTCAAGAAAAAATTTCCCCTTCTTGGTGGTTCTTAGAATTGGTTTAATGGGAGACTATTAGAGAAGCTGAAAAGCAGGAGGGCAGAAAAGTTCAATCAAATTAAACACAATAACAGGGAGGTCACAATGAGGCGGTCTCCAGGGGTCTTTTAGCAAACTTCCTAAAACATGTCTCAGCTGTGTGAAATAAGACTTTACAGCAGCCGGGTGCAGTGGTGCAGGCCTGTAATCCCAGCACTTTGGCAGCAGAGGCAGGCGGATCACTTTGAGCTCAGGGCAACATAGCCAAAACCCCCCTCCCTAGCCCCACCCCCACCCCGTCCCTACCAAAAATACAAAACAGCAGGGCATGGTGGCGGGCGCCTGTAGTCCCAGCTACTCAGGAGGCTGAGGCAGGAGAATCACCTGAACCCAGGAGGCAGACATTGCAGTGAGCCAAGATCACGCCACTGCCAGCCTGGATGACAGAGCAAGACTCCACCTCAAAAAAAAACAAAAACAAAAACACAAGGTTAAGAGGGACCCCCGACCTTACAGATACAAGTTTAAGAGGGACCCCCAAGCAAAAAATGCCAACCCTTTTTCTCCCAATCATTGAAACACCAGGAGGGTGTAACAGTTTTGCAGCCTAGCTGTAGCAGGCTGATGCCCCCAAGATGCCCATATCCTAATCCCGGGAACTGGTGAACATGACCTTATATGGCAAAAGGAGCTTTGCAGATATAATGAAGTTAAGGGTCTTTGGCTTTTGGGGTTGATGTACTCACTCGGATCCTTGTAAGAGCAGAGCAGGTGATGGAGAGGGTGGGAGGTGTAGTGACAGAAGCAGGAAACTCCAGTCATTCGAGACGGGCAGCACAAGCTGAGGAGTGCAGGCCACCTCTACGGCCAGGAAACGGATTCTCCCGCAGAGCCTCGGAAGCTACCGACCCTGCTCCCACCTTGACTCAGTAGGACTTACTGTAGAATTCTGGCCTTCAGACCTGTAAGGGAATACATTTTGGTTGTTTTAAGTCACTAAGTGTGTGGTAATTTGTTGCAGCAGCCACAGGAAACTAGTATTGTAGTGAAGCCTCAAAACCCCCCTGAAGGGGCTGGGCTCAGTGGCTCATGCCTGTAATCCCAGCACTTTGGGAGGCCGACATGGGTGGATCACTTGAGGTCAGGAGTTCGAGACCAGCCCAGCCAACATGGTGAAATGCCATCTATACAAAAAATACAAAAACTAGCCGGGCATGGTGGCACATGCCTGTAATCTCAGCTACTCAGGAGGCTGAGACAGGAGAATTGTTTGAACCCAGGGGGGCAGAGGTTGCAGTGAACTGAGATTCCACCACTGCACTCCAGCCTGGGTGACAGAGCGACGCTCCATCTCGAAAACAAAACAAAACAAAAAAACCCCACCTGAAGGTTTCCAGTTCTGCCAGCACTCTCCCACCCAACCCCCAGAAACAGACATTCCATTGCTGTGGGCCATGGACAGGCAGAAGGAAGCACCTCCTCATGGCAGAGGCCTACCCAGGAGAAACCCAAGGGAAGGCACTACTGGGCTGGCCCCTCTCTGCCAAGGCCATATTCTTTTTTTTTTTGAGGCCAGTTTCACTCTGTCTCCCAGACTGGAGTGCAGGGGCACAATCTCGGCTCACTTCGACCTCTGCCTCCCCAGTTCAAGTGATTCTCCTGCCTCAGTCTCCTGAGTAGCTGGGATGACAGGAGTGTAGCATGCCTAGCTAATTTTTGTATTTCTAGTAGAGATGCGGTTTTGCCATGTTGCCCAGGCTGGACTCGAACTCCTTGCCTCAAGTAGTCCACCTGTCTCAGCCCCGCAAAGTGCTGGTATTACAGGAGTGAGCCACTGCACCCAGCATTTGCCAAGACCTTTGATGGCAGGCTTTTTCCAGGTGATCAGTCCTTGTCTGGTCTGGCTCTGCCCCACTCTCCTTCTCACCTAGTTGGAATCCCTAGCTACTTTTCAGTAGAGGAGAGTGTGTACCCCAATCCCAGCTTGGTTCAGATCTGCATTTAACTCATGGAACCTGGCTGCTCCCCAGGTTCTGAAGAAAAAAACGGTCTCTCTGTGGGTATGATAAAGGATGGGCCTGTCCCCAGGACCCTGTGAGAGGGAAGCCCAATGTCCCACCAGGTTGGCAGGGCTGGGGAAGGGAAAGTGTTATGGCAGCCCCAAGAAAAAAAAGAGGCAGCAGAGGGAGCAGGACAGCGCTCACATGGAACTCATGCCACTGCCTGAGGGGAGGGAGGAGTGCACGCCAGTGACGTCAGGGGGCAGAGAGGCGCAGTTCCAGGGCGGCTTTCCCCCTCACTTCCTGCCATGTTACTCTGATCGCCTCCAGGTGAGCCTGCCCACTTTGTGCCCAGGGGCCTGTAGAAAACCACAGCTCCCCATGGTTATGGCCCCAGGAGTGGGGCAGAGCAG
The DNA here is from genome assembly GCF_000001405.40 of Homo sapiens. Lineage (NCBI taxonomy): Eukaryota > Metazoa > Chordata > Mammalia > Primates > Hominidae > Homo > Homo sapiens. The sequence goes on along the minus strand of NC_000003.12, from coordinate 198,183,897 downwards.
GGAGGAGTCCTGCACAGAGGAGAGGCAGGGGCAGGAGGGAGTGGGCCTCAAACTCCAGGAGGGGGCCCTTCTCATGGGTCCTGCTTTCTGGCTTCTCCTTCCTTACCCCTGGGCTGATCACTTGGGGAAGAACTGAGACAAAGTTTCTCACCCTCAGGCCCAAAGGGTTTAATTACTGGGCCCTTAGGGAGGTGTGAGCCCCCTGAAAGGATGCAAGGTTTTGTTTTGTTTTGTTTTTTGAGACAGAGTTTCGCTCCTGTCGCCCAGGCTGGAGTGCAGTGGTGTGATCTCACCACACTACAACCTGCGCCTCCCAGGTTCAAGTGATTCTCCTGCCTCAGCCTCTGGAGTAGCTGGGATTACAGGTGGCTGCCACCACGCCTGGCTAATTTTTTGTATTTTTAGTAGAGACAGGGTTTCGCCATGTTGGGCAGGCTGGTCTTGAACTCCTGACCTCAGGTGATCCGACTGGCTCCGCCTCCCAAAGTTCTGGGATCACATCAGCCACTGTGCTTGGCCACGATGAAAGGTTTTGTGTGGAGAGCATGTACATGCCTTTCTGGGAAAACAGTCCACAGCTCTTATTCTCAGCAGGCTTCACGGTGAAAAAAGGTTAGAACTCTTGCTACAGAGCTGTGGAAGCAGCCAGGTGAGGGGCCTGCCAAGGGCACTCTGGGCACTACCTGGGCACTCTCGAGCCCATCATCCCCTAGGCAGGCTGCACTGCTTGGTATTTGCAGAGCTGAGGGGGTGGGGCATGTGGGGACTGTGAAATCGCCCTGAGATGACCCACAGTCCTCAGCTAGGAAGTGAGCGCTGCATCTCCTGCAGCGTCCTCCATCCCTAGAGCCATGGGGCCAGGAGAACCGGCCCTTGCAGCAAGTGAAAAGCCTATTATTGATTCCCTCCCTAGCCATGTAGACAGTGAACCACGACACTCATATCAGGTAAATGCCTTGTTCTCTGTTACCAAGGTAACCAGTAGGCATTCCCAGATACAGCGAAGGTCCTCACACCAAGACATGCACCTGGCCACCTGAGGAAAGAGAAAGGACTATCTGAGGGGATGGGGCTGAGCTGGGTGTGGAGTGGTCCTTGTGGGTCTTGGAGAGTGGGAGGGGGAGCAGCATGAGCCAGGCCTCGAGGCAGAAGGACAACCAGGAGACAGCCTGGAAAAAGTGCTGGACCCACAAGGGCTCAAGGCTGGCCAGAGGGGAGGTGGGATAGGCTGTAAAGTCCTGAGGTCTGAAGATTGGCCCTGGCAGGAAGAAACCAGGTAAGGTGGGGTGTTACCTACACCCTCAGGGCCAGATGCAGGCCAGAGCCAGCCAATTACCAGGCCCTTAGGGAGGTGTGAGCCCCTTGAAATGATGCAAGGTTTTTTGTTTTTGTTTTGGAGACGGAGTTTCGCTCTTGTCACACAGGCTGGCACCTTTGCCCAGAGCAGGCACCAAGACTTCTGGCTCTGGGTGTGACCTCAGTCTGGGTAAAAGCCCCAGCCCCCACCAGCACCACCTACCCCCTAGACTACTTCAGGTGCTGAGCCCAAGCCAGGGGCAGGAAGCTAAACTGATGCCTAGGGTAATCCCAACAAAGTCCCTGGTTCCCCGCAGCTATGGGGCTGACGGGGAATTACAGCCCAAACCCCAGATGCTGGCTCTCAAACTAACACTGAGCCCTCAGTGCCCACAGGGAGATACAATCAGCGCACTTTCCAGATGGGGAAATGGGATCAGAGAAGTGCAACAGCCTTGCCCAATGCCCCAGACCAGGGCTCCAGGCCCAGAGTGTTCTTTTGTCACTGTGTTCAGAGGGCAGCAGCTGCTGTGATGTACCCACCTGAGCCTGGCAGCTTTCTCCAACTTTGGAAGCCCAGGAGCATGGCCCCTGTCCACAGATGCACCTGGCATGAGGCGTGCCCAGAGGGACAGAGGCAGATGAGTTTCGTCTCCTCCACTGGATTGTGAGGGCCTAGAAGCAGACAAGGGTCAGCTTGAGAAGGCAGTGAACAGCGAGCAGCCTGAGGCAGTGCCCCTCTGGATGGATGCGCAGTGCCTGGATGGAACCTGGCTCAGACAGAGCTCAGTTCTGCAGGTCCCTGAGGCATGGAGAGTTCACAGCTACCAAGTGTAGGAGTCTGGATTCAAAGCCAATGGCGTCACTCCAAAGTCCCTGCCCTAGCCCCTGGACCACCCTTGCAGGCCCATCAGATGCCCAGGCCAGCAGCACAGCCGGCCAAGACCAGGGAAACTTGGGGAGCCTCAGAGCACCCCCAGGTATTCCAACCTAACCCTGGTGCCCCGCCTCTCACCACCCTTCTTCCTGCTTTAACCTCAACCCTACACAAAGCCTGGGCCACTTAATGTGGCATCAAACAGACGCCTCAATAAATCAGTCTAATCTCGAAAAAAAAAAGACTTAACAGATATACAATTGCACGTTAGAATGCTAAAGACCATAAACATAGAACAACTTAAAGTACATATAAATTCAACATATATCCAATCATTGTAACTATGACACAGTAGAATATTAAAATACTATTTTCAAAATGTATACAAGCTTAATGTTCTATGTATTCAAACTATTTATTCAAAATACAAATCATCAACATAAATTGCCACTAATATTCAGTCCCTTCACAGGACATGATTCACTGGGAGTTAATCAATTAGCAGCCGGCAGGCAGTGACACACCACAAAAATGAAAACCAAGAGGTGAAATAGTTCTGAAATAAAGGTTTTAAAGCTAACAGAAATCACTGAATTACTAAGTCATTAGCACTAATTTTGAGCCAACTAACTAATTAATATGAGATGATACAATGTCCTATACTTTGGTAAATACAGACTATGTTTAAACAATGTCTGTAACGTGACTTGTAAAATGCTCCTGGCTTTACAAAGATGTGATTAAGATGTAGTAACACATGCTAAACCATTTCCCCCTGCAGAGCATGTGGTAACTTTCATCAGTCACACTGAGAGTCCAGAAGATAAAGGAAAAGGTCATGGATTTCGCTGAGAACTTACCAGAGTTGAACTCCCTCATTTTCCGTTCCCCAGCATTGGCGGGTTCTGGGACTGGTGGCTGTGGTGGCTCGTTGGTCTTTGTCTCTTAGAAGGTGGGGAATAATCATCATCTTGAAAAAGAAAAAATGGTCATTACTGAAGGAACCATCTTAGGTTACAGCCACCTCTGGGTCAATTCCCAACATTCAAAAGCTGAGCAGGGCTTTAAAGCTATCTTATTAATAATTATTTCTGTATTGCGAACTTCAGCATACTTTTTTCTAGTTACATTTGAAATGTTATTCTTTTGGGATGTGCTCAAGTGAGTACTGCTTTTTCCTCTGCCTTGCTTCATTACTTTTTAGTTTCCTTCATTTGAATCATCATTGTAAGTCTCCCCTTCTCCTCAAATAACTTTCAAATTGCTGCCAAGAACTATGTTCTATCTTAAGGCTTTTGAGAAAAAACTTTCAATGAAGATAGCCACCTAAAGTTATACAAATATAGAAGAAACGGGATAAAATAAAGCTTAGATTGGAAAAAATATTTAAGATTCTACAAAATTCACGCGTAAACAAGGGAAGCTGAGTAATTGTATGTTCAAATACTTTTAACAAGTGCAAAACATGTAGGCTTAAAGAAATAGAGCTGGCCAGGCATGGTGGTTCACGCCTGTAATTCCAACAGTTTGGGAGGCCGAGGCAGGCAGATAACTTGAGGTCAGGAATTCGAGACCAGCCTGGCCAACAGAGTGAAACCCTCTCTCTACTAAAAATACAAAAATTAGGCCAGGAGTGATGGCTCATGCCTGTGATCCCAGCACTTTGAGAGGCCGAGGCGGGTAGATCACCTGAGGTCAGGAGTTTGAGACCAGCCTAACCAACATAGGGAAACCCCGTCTCTACTAAAACTACAACATTAGCCGGGTGTGGTGGCACATGCCTGTAATCCCAGCTACTCGGGAGGCTGAGGCAGGAGAATCCCTTGAACCCAAAAGGCAAAGATTGTGGTGAGCCGAGATTGTGCCATTGCACTCCAGCCTGGGCAAAAACAGCGAAACTCCGTCTCAAAAAAAAAAAAAAGAAAAAATTAGCCAGGCATGGTGAAGTTGCGGTGAGCTGAGACTGCACCATTGCACTCCAGCCTGGGTAGTAGAGCAAGACCCTGTCTCAAAAAAAAAAAAAAAAAAAAAAAAAAAAAAAGAGAGAGAGAGAAAGAAAGAAAGAGGGCTACATTATTTATGAAACAGATACTGTTAACTCAGTCACCAGAAAGCCTGTGTATAAATGAGCAGTGAGATATTCAAGCACAGCACACACACACTTCTCAGGACAGCTGTCGTGAGTGTTCCATGCTCGTTTCCTTCTGGATACATCAGCAACTCACTCTGCTATGATCCTGCAATACATCTCATGTTAGAATTAGAGACATCTGGGCCAGGCACAGTGGCTGACGCCTGTAATCCTAACACTTTGGGAAGCCGAGGCAGGCAGATCACCTAAGGTCAGGAGTTCGAGACCAGCCTGGCCAACATGGTGAAATGCTGTCTCTACCAAAAATACAAAAAATTAGCTGGGCATGGTGGCGCGCGCCTGTAATCCCAGCTACTCGGGAGCCTGAGGCAGGAGAATCGCTTGAACCCAGGAGGTGGAGGTTGCAGTGAGCCGAGATCGTGCCACTGCACTCCAGCATGGGGGACGGAGCAAGGCTCTGTCAAAAAAAAAAAAACAGAAAAAGAAAAAGAAAAAAGAATTAGAGACATCTGGATCAAATCAGCTGCCAGTCTCGCAAAGTGTCGGGTAACATCCTATTAAGCTTGCTGCTTACACATCATCTATAAAATACTGAAAATATCATTTTAAGAAATCTTTTTTTTATTTTGAGACAGAGTTTTGCTCGTTGCCCAGGCTGGAGTGCAATGGTGCGATCTCAGCTCACTGCAATCTCTGCCCCCTGGGTTCAAGCAATTCTCCTTCCTCAGCCTCCTGAGTAGCTGGGATTACAGGCATGCACCACCACGCCTGGCTAATTTTGTATTTTCAGTTGAGACAGGGTTTCTCCATATTGGTCAGGCTGGTCTCGAACTCCTGACCTCAGGTGATCCACTGACCTTGGCCTCCCAAAGTGCTGGGATTACAGGTGTGAGCCACCATGCCTAGCCAAGAAACCCTTATTTTAAAACAAGCCAGGCGCGGTGGCTCATGCCTATAATCCCAGCACTTTGGGAAGCCAAGGCAGGTGGATCACTTGACGTCAGTAGTTTGAGACCAGCCCGGGCAACATGTTGTAACCCCATCTCTACTAAAAATATATTTTAAAAATTAGCTGGGCATGGTGGTGGGCACCTGTAATCCCAGCTTCTCAGGAGGCTGAGGCAGGAGAACCACTTGAACCTGGGAGGTGGAGGTTGCAGTGAGCGGAGATCATGCCACTGCACTCTAGCCTGGGTGACAATAGAAAGACTCCATCTCAAAAACAAAACAAAACAAAACAAAACAAAAAACCACTAAAAAAAAGACTCCATTTCAAAAACAAAACTAAAACCAAAAACACAACACAAATGTAGTACACAAATGAAAATAATTACTGTGTTAAACACAGTTTCATAGAAAATAAAAGACCAATCAAATACAATAAGCTGCCTTTTTAGATGGGTATGTTATTCTTCTTTCACAGCTAAAGAAACAGGCTCAGAGAATGTTATTTGATTGGACCGTGTTGCATTTCTGGACAGTGCAGCTGAGATCAGACTTTGTGTGTAACTCCACTAGCCTACCAGGGTGCCTCTCATAAAGGTAAGAAATGTAAATTTGGCCTAATATACAAAGTTGCCAGGGCAGCACTGGGTCAATTCTACATACAGTACTTCTATGTTCATCAAGGGAAACCTTAAGGGAAAGTGAAAATGCTTCTAGAAGGCGACTGGACACCAGCGCCTTTGCTTGTTGCCTTTGGGCTCTTCTTCTAAGGCCAACAGTGACCTGAAATTATTGACTGGCTTTTCCAATCAAGTGGACAAAATGGTACCAAGGTCGCCAACATCGATGTAGAACATCGATGTTCTACAACATTGCTTAACGCAAGGGGAGACGCTCCTGACTCAGAGTGTTTAATTGCTCACCTACTTCTTTTTCTGCCCTCTTGGGCTTCTGAAATGAAAAGAACCCTGGGGTGATACAGTGAGTCAAAGGGGTGCCAGCCGCATCACAGCAAAATAGATTCCTAAAAAATCCCTGGCCTAAGATGACAGCCTTGGCTGGATCAGTTTGAATGTGCTGATAGTGGACATGGTAGAATGAAGGTGGTTGAAATGTTCATATTAAAGAACTTCCACCCAGATTGCAAGAAAAGAGAGAAGAATGGAGACGGCAGCACAAGCCCCTACAATAAAAGCAGATGTTTTGAGATCAGTTATATTTCTTCTGACAAAAATTAAAGACAGAAACCAAAGTTTAGCCTGAGACTACAATTAATTGGGCAATAAGCCAGAGGCACATATGGCATAAGACAGATTTAAACATTTCTCCCTGATATTAATACAAACACTAAAATTACAAATACATGGATTCCAAATAAAACAAATATTTAAAAAATTTAATGAATAAACACTGGGGTCTACAGTAGTATTTGAAGGAGATCTCACAAACAGGTTTGGTTTTTGAAGGTTAGAACTGGTGGTCTAGAGAATTCATTTCATTCCAGAGAAAGAAAGAGAGGAATTTCTTGGGTTCCTTCAGGAATGCGTCTAGCTTTGCCTCATCTTTGTTTGAACTATGGATACGGCAGAAGAAAACATAAGGATTTCACAGATTTAAGTTGCAAAAAGTCACTGGGTTCTCTAAGAAGTCTGGGATTCTTCTGCTGGAAAAATAAGTTTGTTGAGAAAAAATGAGTTGGAGGAGGCTGTTATTGAAGTGAAGCAGAATTGTTTTTACTAATCTGCTTATTACCCACTCTGTAGTGTGGAAACAAATTATTCATGCACAAGGTCCTCTTACTGTTCCTAGAATGCAGTGGAAAGAGAACAGATTAGTTTTCCTCCCTCAGAACACAACCCCTAGAAACATCCTACCTCAGATGAGATATTGCCTAATTATTTTCAAAAGACAGTGAAACATCATGGATGTAAATGTTTGCTACAAAATAAATACATGCTAGAAACAGAAGCATCTGGGTCACAGCTATATTAGAGCTACCTGTGTTCCCCTGTCACTGACATTAAAACAAAAATGTCCAATACAATCATTCACAGCGTGGGAGAGGGGAAGTTGAAGGATGGAAAGGCCAGGCATAAAAGGATTTCAGAATTTCCGTCCATAAGGAAGTGGCTTTGTGCACTGTCTGTTACTGCGTGCAAGGTGAAATTTGAAGAATGAAAACGTGCAGTAACAAGGGCTCCTTTGTCCAACTCACCTCTCCAGATACCAAGTTTCAGACATGTTGCATTTGAATTGAAAGGTTGATATAATTTTTTTAAAAGAACACTTGCGGTGTTTGAAGTGACAAAGGCTGCTGTGACAAAAAAGCAGGGAAAGGGAATTTTTTTTTTAAAAGCAAACAACAACAACAAAAACCCCACAGAAAAGCAAACAACAAACAAACAAAAAACAGAGGAAGAAGTTGAACACCCCGGGCTGTGACTACTTCCAGGAAGGGGCTACAAGAGGCAGTTGGAAATTCTATTTGTTTTGCAACTGTGGGTTTTCCGGCCTGCTTCCTTTCTAAAGTATATTACTCTGCTTTTGGTTCATGAAGTTATCCATTTCTGTTTTCTGGAACAGCTATGTATTTTCTTTATCTATCATCTATCTATCCATTTACCATCTATCTTTTCTACCTTTCGCTATCAAGAGCTTGTGTCAAGCAGGATAGAATTCCAGTGTATGTTCACTCTACCGTTTAAAACAAGAGCTCTTGTGGGCATTCTCCATCACATCATAAACCTGAGCTTTCTAAAACAGAGTGTGGCAAACTACCATGCATGGACCATGTCTGACACAGTCTGCGTTTGTAAGTAAAGTTGTAATGGGACACAGCCAATACATGTGTTACATAATGTCTCTGGCTACTTTCATGGTATAATGGAAGAGCTGAGTCATTGAGAGAGAGACCATATGGCTTGGAAAACTTAAAATATTTAACATTTAGCCCCTTGCAGAAAATACTTGCTGACTCTTGTTTTAAAAGATCTCTGTTTAGAATGCTACCTATTGCGTTCTGGATAGAATCACAACTCTTTACCACAATTGACACAGCTTCAGCCCTGCTTCTATATCCAGCCTCATCTATTTCTGCTCCTCCTCCTTATTTTCCTTCTGGCCATGCTGATGGATTGTCAGCTTCCCAGATGTGCAAGAATCTCTCCTCCCTTCCCAACATTCTCATGCTCTCCCTCTGCCTCTCAAGAACTTCCTGCCCCATCTCTCATGACAAATCCTTTCTACATTCTTTAAGATGCAGCCCCTTTGCTCCTTCCTTAAGGATGTCTGTCTGGCTCTATTTTGGGTGACGTGCTCCTTCTGCATCTCCCAGAGCCAGCCTGTGTGTGTCAGCTACAACATTTCTTTGCATCTCTGTGTCATATATCACCAAATCTGCCTAAGCTTGCATGAGTCACTGCATGACAACTTCAGACTCCACCAGCATTGTCCCCACTAACCACAAGGCTTAGACATTCGTCCAGTATGCTCGGGGTTGTGGGGTGGTAGCAGTAACCAGCTGGTGACCATCATTTCTTACATCAGAATCAAATCTGTAGATCTCTGCCATTCGTAAGTATTTGGAGTTTAAAATTAGCATAAAGATTTTCCTTAAAATAAGAACAAATGGCTTGAGTAGGCTTTTGGAACATAGGATGTTTCCACTGGTTCATTTCTGTGTTCAATATTCCCACATGAATCTAAACACGACTCTGCTCTTAGTAGCTATGTGACCCTGGGAAAGTCACTCAATCTCCCGCAGCTAAATTTTGTTGTGTGAGTAATGAGGAGTTGTGATTTGTATTTAGAGAATAATAACAAACAAAAGGCATTTAGCTTTCTGGAACCTGGTATGTAGTAGAACCTCATGAAATACTAGCTCTGTTGATAAAACTAGACTGAAAGAAGCTTTCAAAGTCAACAACAGTTTGAGGCAGTGAAGGACGTAGAGGAGAAGCTGCTGCTGCAGCCTGTAGCTCCTGGAAGCCCGTTTAGTCCATGATTTAGCAGGAATGCATTACCCTTCCATGAGGAGGCACTGCCCACAGAAACCAACGCCATTCTTTGAAGACAAACATGTCTTAATAGCCTTTACATTATGTAATAGTGTAATACAAATAATAATTTATTATTAGTAATAATGTGAAATTATTTACAGTACCCTAACCCTAAACCTAACCCTAATCCTAACCCTAACCCTAACCCTAACACCCTAACCCTAAAACCCTAACCCTAACCCTAACCCTAATCCTAACCCTAATCCTTACCCTTACCCTTACCCTGACCCTAACCCTAATCCTTACCCTTATCCTACCCCTAACCCTTAACCCCTAACCCCTAACCCTAACCCTTAACCCAAACCATAACCCTAAAACGCTAACCCTAACCCTCACCCTCACCCCTCACCCCTCACCCAAACCATAATCCCTAACCCCTAACTCTTAACCCCTAACCCTAACCCTTGACCCTAACCCTTGACCCAAACCCCTGACCCTGACCCTTAACCCTTAACCCTAACCCTAACCCTTAACCCTAACCCTAACCCTAACCCCTAAACCTAACCCTTAACCTTCATCCTCACCCTCACCCACACCCCTAACCCTAACCCTAACCCTAACCCTAACCCTAACCCCTGACCCTGACCCTTAACCCTTAACCCTAACCCTAACCCTTAACCCTAACCCTAACCCTAACCCCTAAACCTAACCCTTAACCTTCATCCTCACCCTCACCCACACCCCTAACCCTAACCCTAACCCTAACCCTAACCCTAACCCTAACCCTAACCCTAACCCTAACCTTCATCCTCACCCTCACCCACATCCCTAACCCTAACCCTAACCCTAACCCTAACCCCTAACCCTAACCCTCACCCTCACCCCTCACCCCTCACCCAAACCATAATCCCTAAGCCTTAACTCTTAACCCCTAACCCTAACACTTGACCCTAACCCTTGACCCAAACCCCTGACCCTGACCCTGACCCTTAACCCTTAACCCTAACCCCTAACCCTAACCCTAACCCTAACCCTTAACCCTAACCCTAACCCTAACCCCTAACCCTTAACCTTCATCCTCACCCTCACCCACACCCCTAACCCTAACCCCTAACCCCTAACCCAAACCCGAACCCTAAACCCTAACACTAAACCCAACCAGAAACCTAACCTGAACCCTAACCCGAACCATAAACCTGAACCCTAAACCCGAACCCTAACCCTAACCCTAACCCTAACCCTAACCCTAACCCGAACCCTAACCCTAACCCAACCCTAACCCTAACCCTAACCCTAAACCCTAACACTAAACCCAACCAGAACCCTAACCTGAACCCTAACCCGAACCATAAACCTGAACCCTAAACCCGAACCCTAACCCTAACCCTAACCCTAATCCTTACCCTAACCCTAACCCTAACCCTAACCCTACCCTTATCCTACCCCTAACCCTTAACCCCTAACCCCTAACCCTAACCCTTAACCCTAACCATAACCCTAAAACGCTAACCCTAACCCTCACCCTCACCCCTCACCCCTCACCCAAACCATAATCCCTAACCCCTAACTCTTAACCCCTAACCCTAACCCTTGACCCAAACCCCTGACCCTGACCCTTAACCCTTAATCCTTAACCCTAACCCCTAACCCTAACCCTAACCCTAACCCCTAACCCTAACCCTTAACCTTCATCCTCACCCTCACCCACACCCCTAACCCTAACCCCTAACCCAAACCCGAACCCTAAACCCTAACACTAAACCCAACCAGAACCCTAACCTGAACCCTAACCCGAACCATAAACCTGAACCCTAAACCCGAACCCTAACCATAACCCAAACCCGAACCCGAACCCTAACCCCTAACCCCTAACCCTAACCCTACCCTAACCCAACCCTAACCCAACCCTAACTCTAGCCCTAGCCCTAGCCCTAGCCCTAAGCCCTAAGCCTAACCCCAACCCCAACCCCAACCCTAACCCTAACCCTTCCTCAGCCTCTCAACCTGCTTGGGTTACAGGTATGAGCCCGGGTGCCTGGCCAAACATTCCATTTTATATGTATATGCTAGGAATGAATAATCTCTAAACCAAATTATGAAAATTCTACCTTAAATAATACCAATAGCAATATTATACTTAGGAATAAATGGAATGAAACGACAAGACTTAGATGAGGGAAATTATAAGACATTACTTAAGGAAATTAAACTTCCAATAAATGTAAAAATGTATCTTATTTGTGGATTTGTAGACCACATTGTTAAGTTTCCCAAAGTACACAAAGCAATCCGTGGATTCGATGTTATTCCTACAAAAATCCCAAAGGCCTTGGGACAGAAGTGGATAAGCTGATCCTGATCACATCCCAATTTCAAATTTTATTACAAAGGAACAGTAATAAAAACAGTGGGATCCTTGCACAGGAATAAACAGAAAGATCAACTGAATTGAATTGGGAGTCCAGACAGAAAACAATACCTCTATGCTCAACTGATTTTAGACAAGGTCCATTACCAGTAAATTGGGGAAAGAATCCTGTCCTCAACAAGTGATGTAAGGCAACTTGCTATCCACATAAAGGGAAATGAAATTGTATCCTTACCTCATACCACATAAAAAATTAACTTACAATGGATCAAAGACCAAAACAGGTGAAAACTAAAAACTCTGGAAGAAAACGTACAGTTAAGCATTCATGACCTTACACATAGCAATAGTTTCCTACATCTGACACCAAAAGCACAGACCACAAAAGGAAAAATAAATCAATTTATTTCCTCAAAATTCACAACTTTTATGTCTCAGAAGACATGAAGAAAAAAGTTGAAAGACAAAATGTTATAATAGGAAAAACAACTGTCTTATAGTATACTCTCAACACTCAACACAGAACACTTCTGTTACCAGATACATGGGTTTTTTCCCCACACAGACCAAATCTTGGGTACCAGCTGGGTGTCCTACAGTGCAATCCAATTGTGACAGTAAATGGAGAAAGCATCAGACCCCACAGGCTAAGGGCTCAGTCCTAGGAATACACGTCATGCCCCTTGTTGCTTGCAAATTTAAATGACAAACACAAGGATGGTAAAAAGAAAGTGACTTTATGCCAGAGCTTAGCTGAAGGGAACATACAGGCTCTTGCCTTAAGGGAAGCGCTTCCACTTTCTGGGCAGAAAGCGGGGCTTCGGACTTGCCAGAATGGCATGCAGGGGATGAGGTGAGGAGGTGCGGGGTCTATGGGACATGCTCTGATGTTTTCTCCATTAGGTGGTCTTGCTAGCACCACCACGGGCAGAGCCAGGTTGTAAATTGACTGTTGTCTGCTGCCAATCTCCTGGTGGGGGAGAGATAGGGAAGTGCCAGTTTGTTTCAAGGTTTGGTCCCTGGAACTTACAAGTAATCACACAGTTGGAAAAGTTTGCAGTATAGGAAGTGTCTGGTGGAGAGACAGTAAAGCTTATAATTGCATTCCTAAAGAGCTAAATGCAGGAACAGCAAAATGGTAAAACTAATTCATTTCTTCTTTAAGAAAATATGGGTACTCAGTTACAAGACTGTAACCACTTAAGATGCCAACCACAAACAGTAGGTTCCCAGGTTACCTTCTGTCTGACTTTGCTACAGATTGGAGGCTCCCACAATACCCTTATTGGGTTCAGCAATTTGCTACATAACATTACACAACCCATGAAAGCAGTGTACTTACTATTCCTGACTCATTACCAAGGATCTTTTAAATGCTACAAATGAAAAGCCAGATGAAGAGATGCACAAGGTGAGGTATATGGAAGGAATGCAGGCCTCCCATGCCCTCGCCAGATATGATCCTCCCAGTATCTCCTGTGTTGGGAGAGCAACACAGATGCTCTCCCAACCCTGTCCTTTATTACACAGGCAGATTGGTTACGTCTGTGGCCATAGGTGATCAACTCAACCATCAGCACCTCTCCCCTTCACAGAGACGGGACGGGGGAAGAAATTTCAAATCCTCTCATGACAAGGTTGCTTCCCTTGGCAGCCAGACCCACTGAGGCTGTCCAGGTGCCCCCAGCCATCAATCATTTCATTAGCATACGAAAGACACATTACTTCGTACATTCCCAAGGCTTAGCGCTCTGTTTCAGGACACTGCAGCAGAGACCACACATTAACTCTTATTACGTTCCAACAACCTATAAAATGGAAGAAAATGTCTGCACATTAGATACTTCATCAGTGTCTGTTATCCAGAATGTATAAAGAACTTTTACAACTCCATAGCAAAGACAACCCAATCTAAAAATTGACAAAAGACTTTAATACACACTTCACCAACAAGCACATGAAAAGATGCTTAGCATCATTACCATAATTAAAACCATAAAGAGATAACCCTTAACTCACACAAGAATAGTTATACTAAAAACTAACAAGTGTTGACAAAGATGTGCAGAAACTTGAACTCTTAAACACTGCTTGTGACAATATGAAATGGTGCAGCCTACGTGTGAAATAATTTGATGTTTCCTCATAAAGTTACAAATATATTTACCATATGAGTCAATAATTCCATTCCTAGGTATATACCCCAAAGACCTGAAAACAACTGTTCAAACAAAAACCTGTATGCTCTTTAAATGTGTCAAGGTCATAAATACGCAGGAAAGTCTGGGGAACAGTTCCAGGAAAAGAAAACTGGATCCTAATGAAAAAAAAAAAAATACACATTATACTCCCAAGTGTGGCATGAGGTAAAAGTGAAGTGAGTTTGTGGACCGAATTATCATGGAGGAACAATGCTGATTTCCTGATCTAGGGGTTATGTGGTAGTTACCTGGGAGAGTGTCCATGCTTTCAGTACAACATACCGGAGTATTTTGTGGGACACTGCAAATCTGGTACAGCAATAACTGTTGGGGAACCTAAGGGAAGAAACAAGTTGTACTTTGTACTACTACTGGAAGTTGCCTAGAAATATGACATTATTGGAAAATAAGTTACTTTTTAAAACAACCATGTCAATACCATGCCAGGAAAGCAGACACATCATTAAAATCCATTACAGAGGCTATAGTTCAGCCAAAGCTGTAAAACCCTTAAAAAAGTCTCAATGTCAACAGAGTCCACTTAGTAGATATGATTATATTTATTGGTATTAGAGGCCACTGTGTCAATATATTACTGTTAGGGCATGCTATGGATATTTAGATTAGTGTTAGGGAATGGTGTGGATATTGTATCGGTGTTGGGGAATGGTGCAGATATTACATTAGTGTTAGGGCATGGTGTGGATATTATTACATTAGTATTAGAAGCGATGGTGTGGATTAGATCAGTGATAGGGCATGGTGTGGATATTATTACATTAGTATTGGAAGCGATGGTGTGGACTAGATCAGTGATAGGGCATGGTGTGGATATTATTACATTAGTATTGGAAGCGATGGTGTGGACTAGATCTGTGATCGGGCATGGTGTGGATATTACTACATTAGTATTGGAAGCGATGGTGTGGACTAGATCAGTGATAGGGCATGGTGTGGATATTACTACATTAGTATTGGAAGCCATGGTGTGGATTAGATCACTGATAGGGCATGGTGTGGATATTATCACATTAGTATTGGAAGTGATGGTGTGGACTAGATCAGTGATAGGGCATGGTGTGGATATTACTACATTAGTATTGGAAGCGATGGTGTGGACTAGATCAGTGTTAGGGCATGGTGTGGATATTATTACATTAGTATTGGAAGCGATGGTGTGGACTAGATCAGTGATAGGGCATGGTGTGGATATTACTACATTACTATTGGAAGCGATGGTGTGGACTAGATCAGTGATAGGGCATGGTGTGGATATTATTACATTAGTATTGGAAGCGATGGTGTGGAGTACATCAGTGTTAGGGCATGGTGTGGATATTATTACATTAGTATTGGAAGCGATGGTGTGGATTAGATCAGTGATAGGGCATGGTGTGGATATTATTACATTAGTATTGGAAGCGATGGTGTGGACTAGATCAGTGATAGGGCATGCTGTGGATATTATTACATTAGTATTGGAAGCGATGGTGTGGATTAGATCAGTGATAGGGCATGCTGTGGATATTATTACATTAGTATTGGAAGCGATGGTGTGGACTAGATCAGTGATAGGGCATGCTGTGGATATTATTACATTAGTATTGGAAGCGATGGTGTGGACTAGATCAGTGATAGGGCATGCTGTGGATATTATTACATTAGTATTGGAAGTGATGGTGTGGACTAGATCAGTGATAGGGCATGGTGTGGATATTATTACATTAGTATTGGAAGCGATGGTGTGGACTAGATCATTGATAGGGCATGGTGCGAATATTATATGGGTGTTAGGGCACAGTGTGGATATTATTACATTAATATTGGAAGCGATGGTGTGGATTACATCAGTGTTAGGGCATGGTGTGGATATTATTACATTAGTATTGGAAGCGATGGTGTGGATTACATCAGTGTTAGGGCATGGTGTGGATATTATTACATTAGTTTTGGAAGCGATGGTGTGGATTACATCAGTGTTAGGGCATGGTGTGAATATTATATAGGTGTTAGGACACGGTGTGGATATCATAGTAATGTAGGGCACAGTGTGATTATTATATTAGAGGCCACTGTAAGAATATATATTAACAGCCACTGTGTCTTGGACGTTGACAATGATATTAGGGTGTACTCCAAACAGTGAGATTTGGGGGTTTTATTTTTCTAGATGAATTTCTTCCTCTGCTGAGTACTCTAAAGACTCACTCCTTGGCACTCAGGGCCGTGGACAGGAGCTTTTTACTCACCAATGAAGAACACCAAGTTAACACGACCCTCGTGCTGCCCTGAGGAAGCTGAAGCTCCTCGCTGCTTCTGGCACCTCAGCGGGAAGTTGGTTGGGGCGGGATCGCGCGCCCTCTGGTGGCGCCATGGTTCAGCACAGACGCTCTTGCTCACAGTTTCTCGGCGGATGTGCGCCCCCTCCTGGCTGTCCTGAAATACCTATAAAATTCAATATTCAGTTTATTCAGTGTCATAATTTTGGAAATTCAAACCGAAATAAAGGCCAGTATATCCATACCCTTCCCATAAATGGTGATGGAAGAATTATTTGGAAGCCATATAGAATGAAATGACTCTATACACAAATTAAAACACAAAAACCTACTCAAAATACTCCAGAGACTACAACTTCAATTGCAAAACTATAAATAACCTAAAAGAAAACCTAAGAGACATTGGATCTGGTGTTGAGTTTTTACACACAGCATCAAGTGCCAATTCGTGAAAATACTGAGAACAGACTTTATAAAACTAAATTTTCTACTATGAAAAACCCTATTCAGAGAACAAAAAGACAAGACACACTGTCAGAAGATATTTACAAAATACAAACGTGATTTTAAAAACTGTATTGAAAATACACAAAGAACTCTTCAAACGAACACTAAGAAAACTAAAAACCCAAATAAAACTGGGTAAATATCTGAACAGACATCCAGCCAAATAAAATATATAGATAGCAGGCCAGGTGTGGTGGCTCATGCCTATAACCCCAGCACTTTGGGAGGCTGAGGCGGGTGAGTCACCTGAGGTCAGGAATTTGAGATCAGCCTGGCCAACATAGTGATACCCCCTCTCTACTAAAAATACAAAAAAATTAGCCAGGCATGGTGGTGGGTGCCTGTAATCCCAGCTACTTGGGAGGCTGATGCAAGAGAATTGCTTGAACATTGGAGGTAGAGGTTGCAGTGACCCAAGATCACGCCACTGCACTCCAGCCTGAGTGACAGAACGAGACTCTATCTCAATAAAAAAAAAAGAAAAAAGAAAAAAAAGAAAATATACAGATAGCACATAATCACACAAAAGGATGCTCAATATATCTCATTAGGAGACTGCAAATTAAAATAATGCTGAGATATCACTGCACACCTAGTACAACTGTGGGACTCTTAAAAAAGCTCAACAGTAAAAATTGGAGGTTGAAGAACAATAGGTACGGCCATTCATTACTGGCAGAATGCATGAATGGGTACAGCCACTTTGGGAAATAGTTTGACAGTTTTTCCCAAAGATAAACAAGTCTTACCTTACAATCCAACAAATGCACCCCTAAATTGTGTATGTTTAGACAGCTGCTTTGAAAAATTATGTTCAAACAAAAACTAGCATGTAATTATATACGAGCCACTCTACTCATAATGGCCAAAACTTGAAGTAATCAGAACGTTCTTCAATAGCTGAATGCATAATCAATTTGAAGTACAACCATGCAATGGAATACCATTCACCAACAGAAAGGAATGAACTGTCAATCCATGAAAACAAATGAATGAATCTTGCATCTATGTTGCTAAGTAAAGGGTGGCAGTATGAAGATGCTATACATTATATGACTCCATTCATATAACATTCTGGAAAAAGCACAACCAAAGAGATGATAGTCAGATCAGTGACTGTCTGGGGTGGGGATTTGAAGTATTCTGTATGCTACTTCAGTAGTGGATATCTGACACTATGCATTTGATAAAACCCACAGAATTTTAATGCACAAAGAACAAATCACAACCTACACAAATTAAATTATTTAGGATGTGGAAGTATCTAAGGACAAAATACAGAGTGCAACCAAGAATCTAACTGTATTACCAATGTATGTTGCAAGTGGTGGGCCAAAGGTGCTGAGCTGGAAATGAGTAGAATCCATAGACTAAAAACAAAACGTACTATATACACGAACAGTGGACTCTATTTTATAAAGTTATTTCCCATAGGGATAATAGTTAATTTTGAAACTACTATATCTGTAAAAAGAAAAATAACCATGATTTTCCTCTATACTATCAACACTCCACTTTTAACAGCAAATTGTGGGGGGTGGGGGGTGTTTCCCATACCAACCAATATTCCAACTCTCTGGAAAACAATTGGGTATCCTGTAATTCAACTGTGACACTGATTACCTGGAGTTAGTATACACCCTACAGGTTAAGGGCTTAGTAACACCAGACTGTCCACAACCTCAGATGCCAATCACAAGTAGTGAATCCCCAGTTTACCCAAACTTCTATATGACTTGGCTAGAAACTAGGCATTCCTACACCCCCTCTTCAGGTTTGACAATTTGCTATGATGGCTTATGGAACTAGGAAATACTTACTTATGTTTACTAGTTATTATGGTCTCAATGTGTGTACACCCCCACCCCAAATTCCTATTTTGAAATGTAATCCCCAAAGGGATGGTATTCAGAGGTAACCGAGAGGTGATCGGATCATGAGAGTGCTGTCCTCATGAATGAAACCAGTGCCCTTATAAAAGCATCTAGGAGCCCGTTTCCCCATTCTGCCATGTCACGACATGCTAGAAGGCACTATCTATGATAGATGAGCCCTCACTAGACATCAAATCTGTCAGCCTTGATCTGGAACTTTCCAAATTCCATATTTTAGGAATTTTTATGGAAGCTTCATCATGTAGACATGACGGATTATTAACTCAATTTCCAGTCCCTTCACACCCTCAAAGGATTGCATGTTAAGCTAAAAGTTACAACCTTCTTATCATGGCTTGGTCTTTCTGGTGACCATCCCCATCCTGAAACCACCCAGGAACCCACAGAGTGTCCTTATTAGAACAGAAGCCATTCCTATTATCCAGGAGATTCCAAGAGATTTAGGAACTCTGCGTCAGGAACCAGGGCCAAAGACCAAATATTAGAACACAAGATGCTCCTAGCACCCCTACTGTTCAGGAAATTATAATAGTTTTAGAAGCTCTGTACCAGGAACTGCAGACACAGACCAAACATATATTTCTTATTAAGTCCCAACCTGGAATCTTGATCAAGAATGAATTCCTTGTTCCCAGTGGTACAAGGGATGAAATGAATGGCAGATAGTAGGAGCCAGGTTCCTCACTATTACAGTGAGAAGTCACAGATAAAAAACAGGGAAGCCTAGAGTGGTCTCTGTCATCATGAGTCAGAATGTATACGGCAGATGGTAGGAGCCAGGTTCCTCACTATTACAGCGAGAAGTTACAGATAAAAAACAGGGAAGCCTAGAGTGGTCTCTGTCATCAGGAGTCAGAATGTATACGGCAGATGGTAGGAGCCAGGTTCCTCACTATTACAGCGAGAAGTTACAGATAAAAAACAGGGAAGCCTAGAGTGGTCTCTGTCATCAGGAGTCAGAATGTATACGGCAGATGGTAGGAGCCAGGTTCCTCACTATTACAGCGAGAAGTTACAGATAAAAAACAGGGAAGCCTAGAGTGGTCTCTGTCATCAGGAGTCAGAATGTATACGGCAGATGGTAGGAGCCAGGTTCCTCACTATTACAGTGAGAAGTTACAGATAAAAAATAGGGAAGCCTAGAGTGGTCTCTGTCATCATGAGTCAGAATATATATATACAACGTAAGTATAAACTCACATTTAGCTTAACATATACATAGATGGTTCCACATAGAAACCTTTATAATTAAGTGGGTACATATAAGTTAGAAGACACACATATATTTCTTTGCACTGTCAGCTGTAAGTGTCATGATGCAATGACCACATTTAGTGGCCAGATGTAAGTTTTTCATACCATTCTCTAACAAAAGAAATCAGGGCTATTAGAAGAAATAGCTGAAACTAGGACTGGGACAGAAAATATATGAGCCAGGGTACTTTTGAAGTAACAGAAATAAATTATAAAAAAAAAACATGAAATTATGTAAAAGAAGCCAGTGGAAAGAGCTACCAATGGCCACAGGTATGAACAAAGAGCAACAAAATACTGTACAATTAGATAACAACCAAAAGATTAAAGTAACTATCTGTGGACCCATACTGGTATAAATAAATGATTAAACAGATATGCAAATGGGCTGAATAGAAATCTCTTATACAGAAGAATTCCAAATACCTGATACAGACAGCCATCAAGGAGGTGGGGCTAACTCCCCACTCCTTTAAGTATGAGCTCTGCATGATGACTTCCTCCAAAAGCATACATACAATATAGACATGGGAAAAAAGTAACTTCACAGTGAAAAACCTGAAAACACTGCCTCAACCAAGTGATAAAAGTTAACATTAATGGTGATAACACATCTTGAGAGCGTGAAGTGACTAGACTAGCACTTGCAAACCAAAAATAAAATTCAAAGATCTTTCCCCCAACCACCTCTCCACCAGGGGACACCAAAGTTAACCTGGAAGACTGGTTCAGGCTATGATGGGAAAGAGGTGGTCAGACACGCCTCATTATGCCCTCCTCCCTTTTGGAATTCAGGAAAAGCCAATCAGCATTTAACATCAACACAACCTTAAATCTGATAAGAAACATTTACAATCTATTCTCTCTGAAGCCTGCTACCTGGAAGCTTCATTTCCATGATAAAACCTTGGTCTCCATAACCCCTTAACATAACCCAGACACTCCTTTCTATTGATAGTAAGTCTTTCAACAAACTGCCAATCAGAAAAATTTTAAATGTACCTATAACCTGGAAGCCCCCCCCCCACCCTAATCCATTGGGTTGTCCCACCTTCCTGGACCGAACCAATATATATCTTAAATACACTTGATTGATGTCTCCTATCTCCCTAAAATGTATAGAACCAACCTGCACCCCAACGACCTTGGGCACATGTTCTCAGGGTCTCCTGAGGGCTGTGTCAAGGGCCATGGTCACTCATATTTGGCTCAGAATACATCTCTTAAAATATTTTACAGTCTTTGACTCTTTTTGTGGACACACTACACATCTGCTCTGCTTCCCCCAAACCCCTAAACCCAGGCTGATTATGAGAAAAACCCCAAGTAAACCACAATGGAGGACATTCTACACAATACCTGACCGATCCTCCTAACACTGTTCCAGGTCCTCAGAAGTAAAGTCTGAGAGATTGTCACAGCCAAGAAGAGCCTGACATGATGACTAAATGTCCTATGGGATCCTAGATAGGATCCTGGGAGAGAAAAAGGCAGAACTAAGGGAAACCAAATAAGATGTGAGCTTATTTAATAATATAGTAATATCCAGTCATTAAGTATGACAAGAAATGATGTAAGATGTTGGTCAGGAGTGGTGGCTCATGCCTGTAATCCCAGCACTTTGGGAGGCTGAGGCAGGCGGATCACCTGAGATCAGGAGTTCAAGACCAGCCTGGCCAACGTGGTGAAACCTCATCTCTACTAAAAATACAAAAATTAGCCGGGCATGATGGCAGGCGCCTGTAATACCAGCTACTCAGGAGGCTGAGGCAGGAGAATCGCTTGAACCTGGGAGGCGGAGGTTGCAGTGAGCCGAGATCACGCCACTGCACTCCAGCCTGGTTGAGACTCTGTCTGAAAAAAAAAAAAAAAAAAAAAAAAGATGTTAAACCTATCTGATACATGTTGGTATGTTAAAAAGCGGGGAAACTAGGTTGCGTCTACATGGGAAATCTGCATTTTCTTCCCAATTTCTGTATGAATCTAAAACTAATTTAAAATAAAACCTCTATTTAAAAATTGTAATTTTTTCAGATATCTGCTAAATTATTTGTACTAAAAATTAGTAATTGACAGTAACTACTACTACTTTTAAAAATAAGAGCATTCATGATACTGCAAAGTAAATTATACAGACTAATATATACTTTCAAAGAAATGCCCCTTTTACATGTTTTATGTTAAGATAACATATATGTGTAAACATGGTCATATCATTTTCCTTATGGTGTAGTTCACTCTCTAAGAAAGCTGGTCATCTTAGAACCAGGGAAAAAAATTCACATTTTGGAGACTATTTCAATTTACGGCTGGACGTTTTCAAAGTATGACTTTGCGAAAAAAAAAAAAGTTCAAATTGATTCATTGTGACTGGATCACTTATTCTAATGAATGCTTGCCTTTATTTTGTTTCCCAGCATTCCTTTCAGCTACGATACAACAGAAGCAAATATTTGCCACTGGAAAAAATATTCAAAGACACTCTTAGGTTAATCTATAGCTGATGACAGTCAGTCTAGTCTACATAGCAAGCAGCTTCAAGATATGATTACTTAGCTAAGCGGGAAATGGGACGTGACTGCTGCCTCATTCCCACGCCTCTCTGGACCTGATAATTTAGAGGAAGCTCACATTCGCAAGATAAAAATTTTCTTTTCCTTCTCAGTATTAAATATGCTGTCACAATAGAAGAAAGCTTTACTGACTTCTTAAATGACGTGTTGAGACCGGAACCCTAAAATGATAGTTACTGAGGATAGTGCTAATGCCCTAAGACCGGAAACCTAAAATGATAGTTACTGAGAATAGTGCTAATGCCCTAAGACCGGAAACCTAAAATGATAGTTACTGAGAATAGTGCTAATGCCCTAAGACCGGAACCCTAAAATGATAGTTACTGAGAATACTGCTAATGCCCTAAGGTTTTAGTCACACCCTCACCTAGGCAGGAACCCAACCAAAAGGGGAGAACTGTGGAACAAACTACGGGAGGTCATTGTTTCGGTCACCACTCCCGCATTAGGCCACACTGAGCAGGCAAAACCAGAATGGAGACACTCACGCTGAATGACACACAACGAAGCTGAAACTTTAAGGAAGTAGATAGATCCCAAAAGAGCTCCCTTTTTCCCTGAAGAGATTCCAGTCTACCTGAGTCAGCATAAAGAAGTCCCCTCTGCTTTAATTCTTACCAAAACAAGTAACTTGAAGTAATCTGTTATTAACAAATCAGTTGTTATTTTCTATTGCTCTATTTCCGCCTTACACAACACAGTGTTCTGCTATTGCCCAGAGGGCACTGAGACCAAATAAAACTTGAAAATGCCACACTGAAAGCAAATAAGTCCTAATAACTCAATTTACAACGATAACAAAGAGTGACACCAATGCCCAAAGTTTTGATCAATATCTCAAAATTGAGAGGCTGACCAAAAGGGAGGAATTCTTACATCAAACAACATTTGGGCTCTAGAAGCCTCCCAAGGAGTCCTTGTAAAGAGTCGCGGCCGGGCGCCGTGGCTCACGCCTGTAATCCCGGCACTTTGGGAGGCCGAGACGGGTGGATCATGAGGTCAGGAAATCGAGACCATCATGGCTTACAAGGTGAAACCCAGTCTCTACTAAAAAAAAATACAAAAAAATTAGCCGGACTTGGTGGCGGCAGCCTGCAGTCCCAGCTACTCGGGAGGCCGGGACAGGAGAATGACATGAACCCGGGAGGCGGAGCTTGCTGTGAGCTGAGATCGCGCCACTGCACTCCAGCCTGGGCGACAGAGCGAGACTCCGCCTCAAAAAAGAAAAAAGAAGAAGAACAAGAAGAATCGCAACCTAATTTAGTATAGAAACAAACTGTAAATCTGACTTGGGAATGTATCATGGTAACAAATAGCGGCGGTTCAGCCAATCACATCAGCCGAGTGTCAGTCAATGGCCGGCAGCCAGCTGTTCAAAACAAGTTCCAAGAAGGCAAATCCGGGCTGTAACCAGGTCTGTAACCAATCCAGCCACCTCTATACCTCACTTCTGTCTTCTGTATGTCACTTTTTTTCTCTGGCTATAAATATAACCCGCACATGTTGTGTGGCAGATCATTCTGAACCATTTTTGGTCTGGACTGCTGCCTGATTCTAGAACCACAAAAAAAGCCAATTAAGATCTGCAAACCCACATTTGTTGTAATTTTGTATTTTAACAGTTGTGCCCTACAAAAGACATTAAGCTGAAATTAATTAAAAATCATTTACGGTCATGATTAGGTCATAAAAAATTGTCAAACATAACAATTCTTCAAAAAAAGCTAAAAAGTATATTTTAAAAACATTGTTGATGGAAAAAAGAGTGCAAAAGTAGATAGGAAAATTATGTACAAAACTAAAAACAGAGGAGAAATTAAAAGTCAAATAATTGCATCAAACTGGAAACCTAGAAAAAATGGGTGATTTCCTAGTAAAAATACACATTAACAAAATGGGCACTGAAATAAGGCAACTATGAATATACCAATTAGCATAGAAAAGCTAAGAAAGGTCCTTAAAGATCTCCCAGTGGAAAAAGGCCCCAGGACCATCTGGGTCCATAGCTTAGTGTAAGCTGACTTAACTAAATGTGATTTTACACTCGTGCATTGCATACATACGATGGTGGTCCCATGAGATAAAAATGGAGCTGAAAAATTCCTTCCTAGCCATCTTGTCATAAGCTCATGGCTCAACGCATTACCTTTTCTCTGTTCTGATACCATGAAAGGAAAATAAATCTCAGGACCCCCAAATCACTAAGCCAAGGGAAAAGTCAAGCTGGGAGCTATGTCAGGCAAACCTGCCCTCATTCTATTCCTAAGATAGCTACAAAGATAAAAAGCTACATACCTCACTCACAATTTGCCCACAAAGAATTTCCTTTTGGACAAAGGACAGACAGCACTCAAAGTCATCCCTCACCTGAGACAGATGCATATCTGATTGCTTCCTCTGCCCTATTATTTATGTAAAAATGCAGATTCATTGAGCCAGACTAAATTGTGTATTCAGTGGAAGGCTGATGAAGGATTCAAAAGAATGCAACCTTTTGTCTCTAACCTACTTCTGACCTGGAAGCACCCCCACTTCCTGCTTCCAGTTGTCCCGCCTTACTGGGCCAAATGACTGTACATCTTACACGTCTCATGTATCCCTAAAATGTACAAAAGCAAGCTCTACCCTGGCCACCTTGGACACACGTCGTCAGGACCTCCTGAGGCTGTGTCATGGGCGTGTCCTTAATCTTGGCAAAATAAGCTTTCTAAATTGACTGAGACCTGTCTCAGATATTCTGGGATCACAATCTACAATCACCATGGTGTTATGGTTGACTACAGCATTCAGTACAGAGACATGCTGTACAGGTTCGTAGCCTGGGAGCAATAGGCTATACTATGTAACTTAGGTGTGGAGTGGGCTACACCATCTAAGTTTTATAAGGACACTCTACAGTGTTCACACAAAGATGAAATCACCTAAGGACAGATTTCTCAGAAAGTATAACATCGTTACGAGATGCCTGAGTGTATTTTAAATGGTCAAAGCCTAGGAGAAAAAAAGAAACTTAACTCTTGTTATGGGTTAATAACAAAGCTTAAGAGAGTTAACATATTTCATCTAATCTAAGATGCCAATGATTAAAAGACATTACTTTATGCACCATCACAAATAGGTTGCCAATTAAACCGACTTTCTGAATAACACACAAATGTGAATTTACTTCTATTAATGCCAGGAAAGTAAAATGAAAAATAAATTATGGTTTTGACATGTTAAAGCAAATACGGCGGGGGTTAGCCTGAGGCCTTCCCTAAGCAAACAGAAACCGAACTTGGAGGCATTTGAACTGACTTAAAAAAATTAACAAACCAACCACAGTCAATGCCAAAAAGCCCAGCAGCCAGTTGGCTGTATGACTAGGGCCGCTGAGGGAACCATCCCCACAACAGGCGGTGGCCTAGCTGGAGCCACTGAGGAGCCTCACTTAGGGGCCACCCTAAGAGCTCGAAGCCCCAAGCCGATTTCCGTTCTGGTGCTTCCCGCGTGATTCATGAACCATTCCTTTGCTGAAATAAACTCCGCTTAAATTTATTTTACCTCAAATCCTTTTAACAAAGTCCAGTATTTACACTTAAAATACGGTTGTGAAAACTCACATCTACATCTGCTCTTCAATATTTTTCAAGTACTTTAACACTCTAAGAAAAACGAGCCACTGGAACGCAAATAAAAGCAAGTCGTGGGGTGCGCGTCTCCCTGGGGCTCTCCATGTTGCCCTCAGGGTTTCTCCCTTCTCTGTCCCGGATCCACCCCAAACAAACCCAAATTGGTCAAAAATTAAAAAATGAAACAACTCAGGTATGCTGTAATAATGAATAACAAAGCCACTTAATGATGGGCCACTTTGTAAAATAAAATAAATACAACTTGAGAAAGTGGAGCGCGAGGCAGCGCGGCCTCCTCAGCACTGAGCCGGGACAGAAAGCTTTTTCCTCACCTTTCCTCGGGCAGCCTCGGGGACCATGAAGCCACAGCTTCCCCAGTCGTTCCTGAGGAGCTGAGGAGAAGGAGGCTGGGTCGTCCCTGGCCACGGTCCCCAGGTGTTCCTAGAGAGCCAGCGGCGTCTCCCGAGTGGGTCCTGAGGAGGAGGAGGCTGGGCCCTCTCAGGTGTCCCTGTAGGGATGACGGCGCCTCCTGCGTAGGTCCTGAGGAGACGGCTCGGCTCCGCCCCCTGGAGCCGCAGGCCGTCTGTGCCGGAACCCGGGCGCCGCTTGAGGTTCTGTGAGGCGGCATCGCGCCCCCTGACGGCCGTCGCAGGCGGTGCAGGATGCTCAGGTGCTCGCGGTCGAGCTGTGGCCTCGCCCCTCCGGTGGATCTCCGAAGTTCACTGTTCGGACAATTACACGCCATGACTTTTGAAAAACCTGCTGAGGCCGGGCGCGGTGGCTCACGCCTGTAATCCCAGCACTTTGGGAGGCCGAGGCGGGCGGATCGCGAGGTCAGGAGATCGAGACCATCCTGGCTAACACGGTGAAACCCCGTCTCTACAAAAAACAAAAAAACAAAAAAAAATTAGCCGGGAGTGGTGGCGGGCGCCTATAGTTCCAGCTACTCGGGAGGCTAAGGCAGGAGAATCGCTTGAACCCGGGAGGGGGAGGTTTCAGGGAGCCTCCTCTAAACAGAAAAGACCGACCCCTAGTCAGTGTTTTATTTTCCCTGATGACCGCAGGCCATGAACTTATGGAACAATAACGTAATTAGGCTCTTGGACCCAGGGAAGTAGCTCCATGCCACCTGCCCTCATTTGCTGAGCATTTTGGTTTCTCGGATCTGCTACTCAGTTTCCAGTCTCCTCCTCCCTGCCAATGCTGCCAGCGTGCCTCTTCTGCAAGCAGCAACCGCCTTCCACCTTCCATTCTCTACTCTTTAGCCATCATCTGGCTGGACTTTTCAGAATGGACTGCAAAGGAGAATAAACTGGCTGAGTCTGAGGGTGCACTCACGTGCAAAGTTGCAAGCTTTAATGTACCCATCTTGGCAGATTTTGGCTCCTTAGAGTTCTTTCTCATTTGGGGATCTCATGTGCCCTCTGATGAGGTGGGCTCACTGACTGTCCGCGCTGGTGGCATCTGGCAGCACCTTGTCACGTGCACCTAGGTAAGAACCTGGCTGCACCTGATGCTTAGCCAAACGGGGAACCCACAGTTCTGTGTATCAGGTGACGTTTAATCTCTGGAGGTTAATGAACGTGAGGGAGCGATACTGTCTGGGACTCTCCACATATTGCGTCTGAGTCACTGAAGGAAAAGAATGTGGGGTCTGTTTGCTGGGACTGGACACCTCCATAATCACATGCTCCATGAAATGCAGGCAGGAGATCTCGCTTTCTACCTCTGGGATGGGAGTGTGCAGTTTCAGAATGAGACTAGCCCACACAACTGACTATTTGGGAAAGAGAAATGAAATCAGATGCAGCAATTTAATATCCACTAAGATGATATCTTAATCACAAACACTCTTCTGGTTTTTAGAAATGTGAATGTTATTTACACTAGGTTAAAAAACCTGAATATCCAACAGCATGACACCGACTAAAGAAATACTGGCGCACTCTGGAACCTTGCACACCACTTATTGGCATGGGAACAATGGGAACACGCCTATGCAAAGATGTGCATGGAAATTAGAAGAATGCAACACTGTAGAACAGATGTGACTAGGTGCATGATCAAGAGCACACAAGACCAAGCCTGCCTCTGCACACACAAGACAGCGCCTGAGTCTGCACCACATGACGGGACCACTGTGGAGCAAGCCTGGGAGATTCTGATGTAGGCAGCAGAGGCGTCACTTAGGGACCAGACTTCCGTGGGAAACCACCATCTCCTTCCAACCCAGATGCGCTTCATGGCAAACGCGAGCAGATGAAGGTCATGTAGGAGACGAAAGAACTCGCTCCCCAAGCCCGTAGGCCTTTGTCCTCCACCCATGGACCGAAGCATCTTGTTAGATGAGGGCCGCCCGCAGCCAGAGCCGGCGGAGAACCTGCCACGGAGCAGGTGTCCGTAAAGAACTGCTGACTGTCACTGTCCCTACTTGGGGGCCACTGGGGGATCTGATGCATCTCACTACCCTTTGTAAAGGAATTATTGAAAATGTCAGCCCTCTAACAAGGCATAGGTTGATTAGTTACAGGATTTAACATTTCTATTTTAAAAGGCAGCATTGAAGAACGTCTTTACAAAGGCTGTACAAAACCTGCCATATTCTTTGTCACACAGATTGACTCATGTGCAATGCAGCCATTTGATGAAACACTGGCATTTACCAGATGTAAACTTATTAGCAGACGACAACTAGAAATAGTGTGCTGGATGTGCCCGTTTATTTATATGAATATAACCATCTCTCTAGATGCATCGAAAGATACACAACATGAGATCCACTTTATTTCTACAAGTTTATGATCAGGTGGTCAGGACAGGGAAAGAAGAGGAAAAAACTTTAAATCATGGACCTTTATTCTTAGACACCTTTATCCTACATACACAAGGGACATGCATGGTTGAAATAACGGAAACAAGTGGATAAAAGTGAAAGTAACTTAAACAGCTTTACCCAGGAATGCCCAATTCAGGTGCTGCAGAGAAGAGCATGAGAACCGGGTGTCTTCAGGACAGGTGTGCATCTGGGAGCAGAGTGGGCGTTCATCAGCAGGGAGGAGAAAGGCCTGGGTCGGGGGACACTGGGGCTGCTGTCCCAGAGGCTGGCAGTGTAGCTCTGAACCCCCAAGACTTCACTGAGTCTCCCCTCAACCACCTAAACCAGAATAAACTGATGTAGCAGGACTCCTCAAACACTGTGCAGGGTCTCCATGTCCTCGATGGCCCCTGATGAGCCACAGTACCCTCAGGTCCTGGTGAAGGAGCTGGTGCTGCCTCCTGCCTTTCCCCACATGGGGTCCTGCAGCTCATCCCACACAGCCTCAGATTCCCTCTACAGAACCTGCCCACAGATGTCTTCCGAGACCGGCAATACTGGGAGGCCTGTGGCCCAGACCCAGGAGGAACCAGCTGAGAGGCTCCGTGGAGGTATCGCTGATGGTGTAACCAGAATGAAAATGCCCACTTCTGTTCTGCTCCCTGAGAACAACTGTCAAGCCAGCATGAGTTTCCAGTTGGAACTATTCCTTTTCTCCCCATGTTTGTCGCTGTTTTAATGGACATTGCCTGGCTATTAAATCCCCCGATGAACTCACTTTGAAAATTATCTATTGCACTGGGCACCCTTTCAGGAATCACTGAGTGTTAATTTTCTCAGTCTGAGTGATAATTTATGAGTCAAACAAGGACAGATCTGAAGCCAGAGGCTGCTCCTGTTGGGAAATCCCTGAGGATGATGTTCCAGGGAAGCCTCCAGCCTTGGGAGTCCCGTGGAACTGAGCCAGCCCAGGTCATGAAGGGAGCTGGTGCCAGACACTGACTGGGGACCTGCTGGCCTCTGGGCAGACCGCTCTGTCCCTGCACCTGGCCTGCCAGGTATCCCTGTGCAGTCATACCAAGTCCTGTGCTCAGAAGGGCCCCAGAGTAGTTTAAAGCTCTGCTGCCGCCCCTGGAAGCTCATGATTTTGAACAACAACAACAAAAAAAAACCCACGTTTTCCACTCGGCCCCACACATTATGTGGCCTGCGCAGCTGTCAGGCTGTGGCCACAGTGCTGGCATCTCTCACACAATGAAGGCTGCTGGAGTCCTGGCTGGCTTGTTTTGACTCTTTTGTGAGGCCCACACCTAAGCTAAACACTCACGTGCCCCCACGCTGACTCCCCACACTCTAAAGCATGAATCTGCCCCTTCAGCTGGGAGAGGGTCCTCGTGTCATCTGGGTTTTTGGAGAGAAGGTCAAGGGAGCCTGGGTTCTAGTTCTTCAGTAATCAAGAGTAAGGGTCTTACCTGTTCACAGGTCCCCGTGGCTGCTTTACAGAAAGCAGGAAGTGGCCACTTCAGCCACACGGCTGCATTTCCAGCTCAGTCCAGGCAGAGCTGCACCCTGCCTTGCACCTCTGCAGATCCTGAGGGGAGTCCTTAACTGAGCCAGGGCGAGTCCTGGGGGCACTCTGCCCCTGGGCAGGCCCTGAATCTCCTCTGCTCCCACACTCTAGAGTTCAACGGGTCTCAGGGGCTCTGCCTGAGGACTGCCCTTCAACCAGGTATTCGTAATTTCCCCAAGACCCAGGCTTGCTGAGTCACTCAGTTACCTGAATGCCTTTTTCACAAAGGGATGACTGTGCTGCTCCGTCTTCCTTCTTTTTTGTTTGCGAGGCCACAGGGAAATCTGGATCCTCTGGTGAAAAAGCAAATCCAGTTGCTGCTGCTGCTGCTGCTGCTGCTGCTGCTGCTGCTGCTGCCAGTTCTTGTAAATGTCCTCACTTGGTTTCTGGGCAGCAACTTCCTTGACTTGCCTGGGGAGCGGATCTGAGCTGCATTTACCAGGCCATGCCCAGGGGAAGTGATCAGTGTGGGACCGTGAAGCTGGATTTCCCCAGGAGCTCCCTCCAAGCTTCTGGGATGATGATAAGACTCGGGATGAACCAAGGATCTCGAACCATGGACAATGTGAAGTCTAGACCCAGTGGAGGAAGAGAAAGGCTACGGGAAGGGCAGGCTTCACGTTACTGAGCATCCGCTACCTGCCACACACTTTCACGTGGCCTTATTCTGTGTGTTTCTCACAGCACCCTTGAGAAATAGAGACTACGATCACATCTTTTACATAAAAGAAAACCACCATCCAGGGAGGCGAAGTCCCTTGCTCACAGACTGTCATGTGGGAAGCTCTCTGGATGCAATGATTGATGTCCTCCAGTTGCAGTACCAGGCAAGCTGTCCCAGAGTTCATGGAGCGGAAAGGCTCGAGAAGCAACTGAGGATGCTCGAATCACAGGTTTATAAAATCCATTCGTAAAACACAGCAAGAAGCTGAGGGAAGGAGATGGGAGGGCCGTATGACCTGATTCCTGTGCTGTCAACATTCATCGGTTCTCTTCTTTCTCTGCTAGTCAACCTCACCCACTCAGGTGTGACCACGAGGACCAGAGCCGAGGTCTGGGCAAGAGTGCTCACAGCTGAAGGGCTTATGACACACACCGGCTCAACGGGACAGACATGGGACAAGTGTGCCTGATCATGGTGGAGTTGCCAAGAAGCAGCTGTCGCACTGCCATGGGTTCTACGTGTTTCTTGGGCAGAGGACGCATGGGACCAGAATGGGCACCAGGAATGGTGGTGAACAAAGGCCCCATGGTTCTGCATGTTTAGGTGTCTCTTGTATAAAGGCACATTGTGAATTGAACATTTAGTGCCCAGGAGCCTCATGCATATTAAGTATCTCTTGGCCCTTGTGTCTCTTCCTTCCCACATGTAACATACCTGTTCTCTGTAACTATCTATTCTGAACGTATCTAAAAACCATGTCTTGCCTGTGTTATACAAACCACATGCATACTCACGTTCTCTGATGTAGCTGAAGGTTTCCTAAGGCCAGGGCACATTTCAGGGTCACATAGAGTGGAGAGAGGGACCAAAATAGCCTTGCTCTGTTTGACTCCCAGCCGAGATGTCTGCTGGGCAGCACTGCCTCTGTAGGCTCTAATGGGGGAAGGGAGCTCAGGGGAGCCTCTGGGGCTGGGCAGGCTACCAGAGGGTGTGGACATTTGGATGGACCCTGACGGAGGACTTGGGTTTCCTTGGGAGGAAGTGTCAGGAAGGGCATCTGGGGCTGAGAGCACTGTGTGAGCAACAGAAGGAAGGAAACTGTGGCTGGCTGGGAAGGGATGGTATGGGGGACAGGGTGAGACTTCTGGCCCTGGGTGCTCAGATGAAGACCTGGGGTTGCCTAGTGGCTGGAAACACACACCAGCTGTGGCAACTTGACCTCTGGGATGTGAGTGTGCAGGCAGCTGCTGAGAACGGCTGTGGATTTGGAGATGTGGCTACAGGGAATGGGCAATGGATTCATCTGGGAATTCTGCAGGCAGTGGCCCATAGAGGAAACAGCCTGGAAATGAGACTGCAGATACGTGCTAAAGAGGCTGGAGGAACAGTGACCCCAGTACAAGTTTATGGATCTTATCCACAATCTAAAGAAATGGAGGCCAAATGGCTTTTGAAATTCTAAGATACATGCAGAGGAAGAGTAATGCTTCATGGGAGAGTCAGACTCTTACTGGCAGTGACGCTACACGGTAGAGCTCTGTTCCTCCTGCCCATGTCTGTGGTTGGGGCTGGGGTAGTGCACAAACATGATGCTGATGAGGCCCAAGCATTGTTGGAAAAGAATTCAGCAGCTGCCACAAGAATCTTGAATCCGTGGGTGAAGACCTTGACTTTCTCTGGGACCAATGTGGTCAAGAACAAAGTAAAATCATGACAACAAACACTGTTCAGTTTTCCAAATATAAGCTATTTTAAATACTCTACATTTACCCTCAAAGACTGACATAACTTAGAATAACTTTTATAACAGCAAGGATGAGAACTAAAACTTAAATTGTAAATACAATTTTATTTATAAAAACAAAGTTAGCTTCAAATATTTTATGAACTAGTAGAATTTTAACCTTTTGTCACATTTCCCAGCAAAATAAATAATTCTTTTTTTCACTTCTAGTCTGTCAGAAGAAAAGTCTTAGCTGAAATGGCCAGAAACTCTGAGGCACACTCCGGAGGCTGCTTCCGGGGCACCTCGGCATGGCCGCTTTTCCATGCCGGCCCTCACTTGATGCGGTCCAGCAGGGTTGAAATTGTTTGAAATGCTTGTTCCCAGTGCGGTAAAGAAATAGCACTTGAATGTAAATTTAATTTCCTCAGCAAGGCCATTTTTATTTTTTTTTAATTTCTGCAGAAAGTGTACACTCGCCAGCAGTTTTGCCACAACAGTATACTGAGCAAAGGAGACAGGGTCATTTATAACCTGATGCATCCACCCTACTGCTGTGTCCAGTTTCCAGTGGCTGGAACGGGACCTCACATTCTGTATTTGTCCCGATTGGCTAGCAATTTAGAACTTTTTTAAAGAGGAAAAGGCAGAGGAGAACGAAGGAAGGAGGAAATAACTTGTGGAATGCTGAAAAAAGTAAAAACACCTTCGAATAAAGAAGAGGAACAGGCAATGACCTAAAGCTTGCTTGGACTAGTATAAGCATGCCAGGGCAAATATTTAGGCTAAATTGTGGGAGCTAAGAACATAAAGTACATTGATTTCTTTATTAGGGCTAGCAGATATTTAAGAATGTTAGCACAGGTCTTTGAATAAATTTTGCTTCTAAGAGAAGTTACTATTTATTTCTAATGAGATGGGAAGGAAAGTCTTTGAAGAGGAAACTCTACTTTTTACAGAAGTAGGAACTTAGACTTACAGTTTGCACATTGACAAACTTGTTTTCCTTCCGTACACGAGGGGTTTATGATCCTCTGTTGCAACTGATTTGTCTTATGTAACTTCAAGAGTTACTCGTCAACCTACTTAGTATTCTGGACTTTTCGGGAAATGGCAATTTGCCTTCCTATTTAGTGGAAGGGATACTGAGACTGCACTTTTTCTTACGCCAAGAAGTGCACAGTGTCATTGCAATGTCAACATCAGGGAGATCTCAGCCAGTGTGAAATAATTAGATCATCCACTCAAAATTCTTAGTTACATCTTTTTAACATTTTCTTCACACTTCTTAAAAGCAGCTTAACAAGAATTGCATTAGTCAGGGTTTTCCAGAGAAACAGAAAAGAGAGAAGGAGATGTCCAGAATTGTCTCATGTGATTACAGAGGCTAGAATCCAAGGAAGAGTGGCTTGAGTCCAGGGGCAGAATTCCCTCTTCCCCTGGGAGGTCAGTATTTCTTCCTTTAAGGCCTTCAACTGATTGGATGAGACCCACCCACATTATGGAGCATAATCTGCTTTACTAAAAGTATACTGGCTTAAATGCTAATTTCATCTGAAAAATACCACAGAATAATGTTGACCAAGTACTGGGAGAGGCCTTTTCCTTCATCTTTTGGTAAATTGCAATCCCTGGGTATATTCACATTTGAAACTCAAATGTGGGCATTGGCTACTGCAGGCCTTTCCCGGCTCAATGGAGTGCAGACAGGGGAGGCACAGGAGTGACTCCACTGTGTGAAGAGAAGACTGATGAGGGCCCGTGTGGCACCTCAGGTAGGGTCTGCACTGTCTGGACTATGGTCAGGCCCCTGCCTGAGCCAGCCCTGCTCTCCAGTGTCCCCAAGGAATCCCTGAAACTAGCATCTCATGGAGGAGATAGACGATGCAGGAGGTCCCCTGTGCCCAGAACAAATGGTACAACAAGGCCCTCTGTTCCCCAAACTGGTCTCAGCAAACTTTCCCCACAGCTTGGATCTGGGCAGGTCACAGGGCCCAAACCTCATGACCAGCAGTGCTGGACCAGGGGGCTAGAAGGGCAGGTGGAGCTCTCTGACGACATTGTGGAGAGGAGGGGTGCCAGGCAAGGGGTGTCCAGGCAGGGGGTGTCCAGGATACTGTCCTGAGAGCCTCTCCAGGGACAGATGCCCTTAGGGGCAGAGAAAAAGGCAACCGGGGAGACCAGAGGAGTCTGATGCAGATAAGGAGGGGCTCTGTCCAGTGATGTTTCTCCACAATGAGCTCTCCCGAGGACAAGCAGCCTGCTTTATAGGCTAACCCCACTGCACAGTGAGAAGACGAAGACTTCGGAACTCAGTTCCCTAGAACCTCTTCTCTCCCTGCATAGTCCGGCCCTATTGGTCCCTTCTGGTCTTGAAGGTCTTTAATGGAAACAAACCGCAAGGCCAAGGCCAGACCTGCCTGCCCTTCATGCCCATCTCCACGCAGCAGTTGAGTGTGGACTCTGCCTCCCCTGTCCCCCGAACAGTGAGTCCCCACCAGCCCCTCCAGGGACACAGTGCCAGCTCTGCAGCCCTCCCGTCCCTCTGTCCATTCTTCTGCAG
Source organism: Homo sapiens (assembly GCF_000001405.40). Lineage (NCBI taxonomy): Eukaryota > Metazoa > Chordata > Mammalia > Primates > Hominidae > Homo > Homo sapiens. The sequence goes on along the minus strand of NC_000003.12, from coordinate 198,148,666 downwards.
GCAGGATGGGCACTGTGGCTGGAGGAAGGCTCCTGATCCACTGCTTTGGGGGAATCTGATTTAGCACTCTACAGGGAACCCAACAGAGATCCAAAGCTGAGTACTGATTCAGAGAAAGAACATTTCTGCTAAGCTTAGGGCCTCAGGGAGGACAGATAATTATCTAAAGTTGACAGAACAATCAATTTTCTGGGTCTGAAGTTTACAAACAAAATCCCTCTCCTTTGAAGGCAGATTAGCCATGGAAACACCTTCTACATTGCCTGCCTAAATGGTTTGTCTCTGCAATCAATCTCTCTATTCTTTAAAACAGAATTAGGATAATTTGCATAATTGTTTCTTGTCTCAGAGAAATCTTACGGGGAGGCTGTCTCCAGACAACCAGCAGCCTGGGCTCCAGGACGACGCCAAACCCACAGGCAGCCTTGCGGTAAGGCTCCAGGCTCTAGAGCCAAAGGCTCTAGGTCAGAGGCTCCACCTGGGACCCCTGCGCCCTCCCTGCCAGGGCGGCAGAGGGAGCCACATCCCTGAAAGCCTCTGGCTTAGGGACCTCAGAATTCCCACCTCTGATAAGGTAATGAAATGAGCCAAGGTTGGTAAAAATCTGTGAACAAACTGGCCTACAGTGGCTAAAACCAGAGGGAGAAAAATAATGTGATAAACCCCCAAACCAGCCATCCTGGGAAGTTTCAAGGGGCGGCTGCACTCCTGACTCCTCCCCAGCCTCCTGGAGCTGCCCAGGTGAGCAGACAGAGTTTTGAGAGCTGGTACTGAGACTCTGTGCCTGGAGACAGACACTGGGCAGGGACCCTCAACTTTCCTGTCCGTTTTGCGCAGAGAGTCAGAAACAGATGCTGGGGAGCAGCCAGCAAGCAGAGGGCTGCCTGTCTCAGAGGCAGGAGCATCCACCTCAGAGGATGGCAGGTGGGGAGATCCTGGACTGTGCCACCCCCAGGGGCTCTGCAGCCCTCCCGGTGCTCAGTTATCAGGCTCACTACCTCTCAAAGGCGTCTCTTCTCTCTGTGGACATTTGTCTGTCACAGCTGCAAGATTCTCACAATAAACTTGCTCTCCAGATTCCTAAAAGAATTGCTTGCTCCAGTTTAGCCAGCTAAGACTTTCTTGGATAATGGCATAATCTGGAAGGATATTTAACAATTTTAAACTGGAAATTATTGACTCTATGGTGAGTCAGGAAAAACCACATTCACAATATTCAACAGCAGCGCTGGGCCTTGATGCTCCAGGGCAGTGCAGGGATTAGAGATCTGAGAGGTTTCATGACGCTTCTCAGGGGAATACACGGGTTCTGGGTTCTTCTAAGGAAGCTCCCTCCATGCCAGCCACCACCTTGTCTCTGCTGGGGAAACAGTGGTCCAGGGGCCCTCAACTGCAGGGAAATTATTGAACCTCCCAATGTCACTGCATCTCCTCTGGGTCTTCTTTTATTCCTTCTTTCCCCTAGAAAACACCTTCTGACACACGCCCGCTCTGCCTGTCTGTCCCCTGCTGCGGCCAGACAGCGAGCAGGGAAGAAATCCAGTGTCTGGACTGTTTGCTGGTCTGCAGAACCTGTTCTCTCGCAGTATCTGTTTTCCAATGCAGATTTTCACAGTTCCCTAAAGAAACTTCAATTTCCATTCCCAGAATGACTTCATTTCCTGATACCCAGCCCAAATTCACGTGTGTTTGCAGCCGATGTGGCAACATAGCCACTTGGGTGGGGGTGAACATCACAGCCCACAGTTCTGCAGTTCAGATTTGGGTTTATCTTAGCACTTAGTGCAACTTTGCATTTGGCAGAGGTCTTTCTCTTTTGTAGTCCTTGCCACCAACCTCATTACTTGTGAGAGTCTGCCTCATGCCTGTCTGCTCAGCAGATGAGAGACCTTGAGGCCTGGGAAGATCCCGCCCTCCTTGGCTCTGTATTCCTAGGTAGTGCATTGCCTAGTGGTTGGTTAATTTTAGGTGTCAACTTGACTAGGCTGAGGGAAACCCAGATAGCTGATAAAACATGCTTTCTAAGTGCGCCTGAGAGGGCGTTTCCAGAAGAGATCAGCATTTGAATCAGGGGAGTGAGTGGGAAAATCCACGCTCCCCAAAGGCTGAGGGCCCAGATAGAACAAAAAGGCAGAGGAAGGGTGAATTCTTTCCTTATTCTGGATCTGAGACATCCATCTTCTCCTGCCCCCAAACATCAGAACTCGGGGTTCTCAGGCCTTTGGACTCCGGGACGTACACCAGCAACTTCCCTGGTTCTCCAGCTTGTAGATGGCAGCAGGACTTCTCATCCTCCATAATCACATGAGCCAAGTCACATGAAAAATTCCTGCTCATCCCTCTCTCTGTGTACATCCTATTGGTTCTGTTTCTATGGAGAACTCTAATACAACTGGCACAGACTAGCTGCTCAACAAGTGTTTTATTTCTGAATGACTCAGATGTTTGAGCAGCTTCCAAGCTTACATACCTGTGTTTCCATTAAAGCCATTGTTTAGGAGGCCGATGGCAACAAAAGGTTGAAACATGGCAAAATCAGGGGCAGTTGATTTGAGTTATACCGTGATGTGTTTACATTTGTACTATGATAGGGATTTATTGCAAGGAGTTAGGAATGCTGGCCTCTAAAAGCTGGAAAAGTGTATTTTGTTGGGGAGGCCTGGGAGCCCCCATCTCACACACAGGAGGGAAGACACAAGGGGAAGCACTCGTGACGATGAACGAGATGTTGTTCCTGCCAGACGCAGGTCCTTGCCGTGTGTGTGCATAACCTCATTTCATTCGATAGCAACTCAGGAGGAGGAAATCATTATTAACTGTATTCTTTTATGTACAGAAGCTGAGGCTTGAAAGTGAAAATGACACAGCTGTTCATGGTCTTGCTGGCATTGGAGCCAGGAGAGAAAAATCCCTTGGTAAAATCTCCCAGCTGAATGGGGAAATGGGAATATATCCCGCATGGCCCAAAGAGACAATGGCTGGAAGTGGTCACAGTCCTCGAGGGGGAGCTGTGTGGTGGCCAGGCTGTGGTCATGAAGACACAGCGGCGTGGGAGGCTGAGGGTCGCTGGGGATGCTGGCTGGAATGTTTCTGTTAATAGCTGGAGCTCCAGAGCCTGTCCTGGAAGAGGGATGGGGGCCTGGTCCTGGGAGAGTTTGTAAACCGGCATGAGCACATGTCAGGGTGGAGCTCTGACGTCAGGACCCTGGCATGACTGCAATAGACATCACACAAATGGGGCAAGAGGACCAAGCCTCCCCACGGTACAGCTGCTCAACTGTGTGGGGGGAGCTGTGGTGAAACACAGGACTCACTTAGAAAGATCCAGAGAGAGAATCCACCCACAGAAAACCTGGAGAGCATTTTGAAATTTCCTACAGGAAATCCAGGAGAAAAGGAGTCCTATTCAGTGATGGGAGGGGGTGCAGGTCAGGGGCCGCATCGGAAGGCAGTCGTCTGAAGGGATGCACGGATTCACGATGGAGGTGCTGAGACAGCCACAGGAGGTGGTGAGTGGGGGCCATGGGGATTGGGTGGGGAATCTAGAGCTGGGACACTCTGGTTTTGATGGAAGGAGCATCGCCCTAGGAAGCAAAGACACAGATTCGAGTCCAGGCCTGGAGCAACCTTCAATCACCCTTAAGCCCTCTGAGTTTCTGCGTCTGTGAAATAAGCATAATGATTCCCACCTCACAGGGGCAGGGGCAGGGGCAGGACACTGTGAGATTGTAAGGGTCGGTGTCCCTCTTCGCATGGAGTCAGCAGCCGGCTGGGCTGAGGGAGGTGTTTCTGTCCTTAGGTGTCGCAGGCTGGCTCTCGTGCGTCCTTCCTTCCACTTCTCCCCACCTGCATCCACACAGAGAATACACTACCTCCATAAAACGCTTGCAAGGGGCCACTGTTCTCAGCATTTCACCTGTCAACCTCACTTAAGCCTTAAACAGCCTATGATGAGGTTCTGATAGTGTCTCCCTTGGCCTGCTGGAAGGCCCAGTGCTGAAGGACGACTGGGCACCCCGGCTCTTGGGATGGTCAAAGGCTCTCACCTGGACAGGGAGGACCCCCTCCTCTCCCTGGGCCTTCTGCTGCCCTGAGCCCCTACTGCTCTCTGCCACAGACTCGGGAGGGAGCATGAGCTGCATCCAACAGGCCGCAGCAGGTCCCGGCCTCTCAGCACCCAAGACCAGACAGAGGCAGTGCCTCGGCTGCAGTAAAGGCCTAGCGACCCGGGTGGGCATGGGGCACACGTTCCTACTCTGGCATTAGAGGTCATGCCACTGCTTGTCTTTATCATTCTACCCAGTGTCCTGCGAGGACTTGGTCCTCAGGTGGGTCACAAGTCTCCAGTCCATTAATTAACTGGTCGGAAGTGAGTCCCGGTCTATCCCTGTGAGGAGCAGGGGGACTGGCACCTCATTTCCTCGTGGACTCATGGCCCTACACAACGACATGCCTGGCCTTCCTGGACTCATGCACTCACTCCAGAAGGACATTTGCTTTGAGCTCGCCTGGTGGATGGGGTGCCCCTGAACAGCTAACCATCTGTTGACATTTCCACCATGAGAAAGTTCCTCCAGGCAGCGCCCAGCTAGTGCTCCAAAGAGGTGCAGAATCTGAGAAATTATGTGGTCCACAGTCAACAGCTAACAACATTCATAGGACCTTATTAGCCACCAGCTTGGAGAAGGCCGGTGTCCAGAATAAATCAAATCCTTCATAACTGTCAGACGGTGGTGATTCAGTCAAATCTCAGTCAAAAGATGCTCTGGCCAAAGTCAACAGAGAGCAGAAGCAACTTGCTTTTGCTGGTCCCTCAGCAAGACCACACAGGGAGATTTGCAGGCAATAAACAATGTTGCCTAAAACTTTCCCGTGAGGTGGGAATTGCTTTCATCCAGATAAGAAGGTGCCGGCCCAGGGGAGGTGTGGGTGGCCAAGCCAGGGAGGGGGGCCCTCACGTGGCCTCAAGAGATCAGCAGCCAGGAGTTAGCTCTCTCCACAGCACGCCGAAACGGCTCCACGCCTCTGCTGGTGTTTTTATAGGAACCCCTTTTGTGTGTTTGCTTCCTAGCTCAGACTTGAGTCAAATGGTCTATTAATTAGGGTAGATTTAGTCACTCCTGACATCAGCTTGTGTGGTTCGAGCAGCCCAAGGGGAAGAGACAGGGCCTCCTTTATGCAGACCCCGCAGTCTTCAGAGGACTGGACACAGCCCTGGCCCTGCTGCTGTCTGCCGTGCCTTTTGCTCCCTGGGTTTCATTCCTTGGTCTGTACCTTGAATATAAGGAGATCCGTTTGTACATTTTGCTCTCGTGCATTATACCAAAGGAAAAGAGAAGATAGTAGTTTAAAGCTCCCAACACTTTTCATGTTCTGAGCCTTTAGGTCTCCCATATGGTAGAGAATCCACAAATATCAGAGGACCCCAAACCTCGCCCGAGATGAAACAGCTTTGAGGCTTCCAGGGATCCCTCAGAAGGCTGCACCCAGGCCGGCCACACGTGAAAACGCGATGGCTCTTTTCTTCTCTGTTCACTGTAGTTTTATCAGACAGAGCTCTAAACCAGTTTATTCAATGACACGGAGTGATTCTTTCCTGTCTCTGCTTGTCCAGTGTGTGACAAGAGTTGAGAAGTGGGGAGACACAGGGGGCACATTGAATGCAGGTGGTCTTACCCGCCTCACTCAGGATGCACGTCTTGCCTGGCTAGGCTTGGCCTCCTCTGCACTGTGTGCCCCTCTAAATGAAGCGTGACCCTTCTTCCCCCACCTCATTGGTGGTTCTCTGCCCCCATGAGCTCAGCCAGCTGCTTCCCTGACACATGCAGGTCCTAGCCTGGACGAGACAGAGCAACAAAGGCCGAGTGGGGACGAACACTGGCCTGGCTTTCAGGTCCACCTTTGCCTCACGCAGATGCTTCTCTACCCTTTATGATTGAGATCCTGGAGCAGGGGATCACCTAGTTGTAAGGACCATAAAGTGGAGAAGGAGCAGGGAGCGGTTAGGACCATTGCTGCAAGCTCCTGGTGTCCCTGACAGTGAGAGAGGCAGGACACTCGCCTGGGCTGGGCCTGAGGATGCTGCTTTCCCCTCTGCATGCCTGGGGTCCAACGAGGGTCATGGGACCCAGGAACGTCTCTGCAACTCTGTCTGTAAACATCCAGGAGCTAATTGTGACCTGGAAGTCATTTGGAACTCAGCACAGAGGCCTTCAGAAGTCCCTGCCTTCAGATAAGGGCAGGTGCTTACTCTCCCAGTGGCTAGCACTGTTAAAAACAGACTTTTTTTTTTCTATAGCCAACATCATAACAAATGATGAAATACTCAATAACTCCCCCTAAAACGGGGAGAAAGGGAAGGGTTTCTGTTTTTGTTTTCATCTCTTCTAGTGAGCATTGGGCTGGGAGGTTCCAGCCAGTGCAAAGAGATGAGGAAAAGAAAAGTATAAATATTGGAAAGAAATAAGTAAAACTATCCTCATTTACAGGTGAAATGAGGTGGCAAATCCTAAGGGATCCACAAAAAATCAACTTGAACCAATAAGTGAATTCTGCAACATCACAGGACACCAAGTCAATATGTAAAGATCAGTTGTATTTCTATATACTACTGATGACTAATTTAAAACATCACAGGACACCAGGTCAACATATAAAGATAGGCTGTATTTCTATATACTGCTGATGACTAATTTAAAATGAAGTCAAAAATACTATCTATAATAGTAAAATCAAATACTTAGGGATAAATTTCACAATATATGTGAAAACCTCTACACCAAAAATTATCTGAGAGATATATCTCTAAATATACCATGTCTAATTCTTCACAAATTGATCTAATCATTCAATGAAATCTCAATTGGAGTCCCTGTGGACTTTTCCTCTAAATTAACAGGATGATTTAGAAGTTCATAGAGAAGTGAAGGTCTAAGGGCAGCCACAGCCATCTGGAAAGGAACGGCACCATCAGAAGAGTTGTCAAATCTTGCACCAGTAAGGCCATAAAGAAATAGCTCACTGGCATAGAGCAGAGATTACAGAAATAGGCTGACAGGCACCATCCCATGATTTTCAACAAGCAGGCCAAAACCACAGGGGGAAACATGGTACTGAAATAACTGGATATCAGGCCAGGCGTAGTGGGGCTCATGCCTGTAGTCCCAGGACTTTGGGATGCCAAGGTGGGAGGATTGCTTGGGCCCAGAAGTTTGAGACCAGCGTGGGCAACGTCATAAGACTCTGTGTCTCTACACAGAGATGTAGGCCAGGCACGGAGGTGCACACTGAGGCAGGAGGATCCCTTGAGCCCAGGGGTTTCAGGCTGCAGTAAGCTGTGATCGCAGCTTGGGCGATAGAGTGAGATCCTGTCTCTAAAATATAAAATATATAAATAAATAAAACAAAACTGGATATCCACATGAAAAGAAAAAAGAATCTTGACTCCTCCTTCTCATACCTTCGAAACTGAGAGGTTAGGCAAGGGTTTCATAGAGAAGACACAAGCCATAAACTAGAAGATTGATAAACTAGAGTATAACTTACGAGGGAAACGAGAGTGACTTCATGCTGGAGAAACCTGGCCAGCACACTCTGCCAGGTAGCCGAGGTCAACATCAGCAGTGAGCCGGGCCGAGGCAGGACCCCTGATGTGGTGGCATGAGAAGCGCCTCACCTCTGCTCTTCCTCCAAGGAGCCCACAGCCGGAATCTGATCATGAAAAAAAGACTTCACACGAACCCCGGCAGACAGACACTCCCCCAGATGCCTGAGCCCAGCTTCTCAGAACTTTCAAGATCACAGAAAACAAGGAAGGTCTGAGAAACTGTCACGGCCCAGAGGACCCTAGGGAGATGTGACAAGCAAATGTCACACGGGATCCTGGATGGGATCCTGGATGGGATCCCGGCCCACAAAACGGCCACCCGAGAACAAACCAAATGAACTGTGGGCTTTAGTCAATGATTATGTAGCAACGTTTGTTTGCTAATTCTGACAAATGTACCATTATAATGTAAGGCATTAATAATAAGCAAACTGTGTGAAGTATATGGGAACCCGGCACTATCTTTATAACAATTCTGTAAACTCGAAATGGCTCTAAAATAAAAAAACTTCATTTTAAAAAACCAGCCACAGGGGAAGGAGGGAGATTGATAAATTGGACTTCAAGAAAATGGAAGTCATTGGGTGAAAATACACACAACAGGGACACCTGATGAAAGACCTCCATGAAGAATGTGTAAGCAACTCTGGAGACCCAGCAATCAACAGACTACTGCCCAATTCTAAAAAACGGGCAAAGACTTGAGCAAACACTTTGGAAGATACACAAATAGCTGATGAGTTTGAGAAAAGCTGCTCAGCCTCGTAGTGATCAGGAAGTGCAACTGAAAAATCTCAGTGGGACACCCTGCACGCCCGCCAGGGTGCAGGTGGAAAGGCTGGCAACACGACAGTGAGGCTTATGCCAAGCAACCGGATCCTCATCGCCTCTGGGGACAGCCTGGAATGTGGCCACCACTTAGGACCATGGCTTGGAAATATCTTAAATCCAACGTATTTCTACATGCTAGTGATGCTGCTCATCAAGGGGGTGAGCACTCATGGGCTGGGGATGCTACAGGGTCCTCAGTGCCTGCCCATTTCACAGGACGGGAGACTGAGGTCTAGAGGGAGGCAACAGCCAAGGAGGCCCTGGATCCAACGCCTCGCCCAAGCCACCACGGCTGCCTCCTCCTCTGGCCCCTCCATCTCCCCCACTCCTTCTTCTCCCCCTTGTCCCCCTTCTCCTTCTCCCACCCCTCCTCCTCCTCTCCCTCCTCCTCATCCATTGTCCTCCTTGTCCTCCTTATCCCCCTCCTTGTCATTCTCCTCTTCCTCCTAGTCCTCCTTCTCCTCCTCCTTCTCCCCCTCCTTATTCTCCTCCTTCTCCCCGATTCCTCCTCCTTCTCCCCAACTCCTCCTCCTTCTCCCCGACTCCTCCTCCTTCACCTCCTCCTTGTCCTCCTCCCTCTCCTCCTCCTCATCCCCCTCTTCCTCTTCCTAATTCTCCTCCTCTGCCTCCTCCTTGTCCTCTCCCTCCCCCTTGTCCTCCTCGTCTTCCTTTTCTTCCTCCTCTTCTGTCCCAGGGCTTTCAAACTCTGGCTCTCTAACGACATGGAAGAGTTAAAAGGAGGAACGCTGGCTCAGCCAAGCCCCGGAGACTCCTACTTGATATGGGCAGTTTAAAGCCACTTTCCCTTTAAATTTTTCTGTGACAACTCTTTTCATGGAGAATGAAAAGACTCTCGTTAAGTGTTGCCATTCAGAAGTGTTGGCGGTCGTTGCTAACATGAGATCCAACAAGGTAAATGCCAGAAGCCATCTGCAAGGGGTAATATCTTATTCTGCTTTTGCATAAGTGATGCTGCATCCCTTTATCTCTCTGCTGCCGGCCTTCAGTGCTGATGGCCTGTGCCACCCAATGACTGGTTAAATCAGCTTGAGGAAGAGCTCTTTTGAGGCTCTGTCCAGTTTAGCAGGGGAAACTTCAAAGTCCCAGCATCCTGGTCATGGAATGCTATGTTAACCCTTTCCAAAGTTTGAGACTGAGATGGGCAGACCATTTTAAAGACACACTGCATCCAGCCTCCCATGACAGAGCCTCATGGGAAGGGTGGTGAGCAGGGTCGTGGGGATATTCTATCCTGAGCCTTCCATGTTGGGGCTTCTCGGAGACAGGGGAGGATCACAGCCTCAGTGACTGGCCATTGGCCAAATACACTCATTAAAATGCCCTTCTCCAGGGCTGGGGACCTGACTCTCTCAGTCTGTGGGGCCCAGCCCACCTGCTCCTCCCTAATGGCTCCTGCTGGATGGGGAACAGCCTGGCACCAGGTGAACCATCACTGACTCTCCCTGGGGAGAGACGAGGGAGGAGGGGGCATGTCCAAGAGGCCAAGGTACAAGCCCAGTGCCCTGCAGGTCTTCCAACATTTCCAGCCTTAATGGCCATGATCGCCATGGTCTGGACTTTCTGAAGAAAGTCTTTTCACAGGCTCGGCCTGGCTGGAATCTGACCTGTGAAGCCTTTGGGTCAGTCGCAGGAATTATCAAGCATCTGCCATGCCTGGAAGAGTTGGACTGGGGAGGCACAGGGCCTGCCTGGCGTCAGGTGCTGAGGAAGGGATGATAAATGCACCCCCTCTGTTTTGTCCGTTTCTCACGGCCTCTCTGGCCACCCTGTCCGCCTGTGTCTGTCCTGCCCAGCCCTTCTCTGACGAGCGTGTCTTGGTGCTTTGTCTCTGCTCACCCTGGGCTCATCACTGTAAACAGCAGGAGGTTCCACACCAGGCGAGGTGTGCCATTGTGACTGAAGGTCTCAGGGAACAGAACTGAGTCTGGGTGGGTTGAGCTGGGAGTTTCATAGCTGTAGGAAGCTGCGATCGCAGCTTCATGATGCAGACAGAAGGCCTTGTCTCAGCTCAGTGGGGGAAGCCCCTTGTCGACTCTAGGCAGGGGGGATTGTACCGCTGCCTCTCCCAGTAGCAGCTCCCAGGAGGCAGTGCAGTCACGGGGCCCCGCTGGTAGAAGCTGAATAGTCCATCGGGAAAACCTCAAAGGCCACCAGTCCTCGAGGTAGCTGCTGCTCCAGCTGTGCTCACCTGGAGTGGAGGGGCAAATGGCACCAGGGGTGGGAGAGGTCAAGGCAGAGCCTCTGCCCCATCCTAGACCAGCTGCACGAGACGACAGCTCACACCAGCTGCCCAGAGGCACAGCCCCTCTGCCAGGCTTCAGCAGGGCATGGCTTGATCTCAAGGCCCTCTCTTCCCGTCCCACTGCCCCTCCCTCCTGTGACAGGAGGACCAGCAGTTCCACTCTGAGCCCGGCTGAGGCCCGACCTCCTCCACCTCAGCCCTGAGAATCTTCTCCAGCTGGGATGGCTGTTGCCCTGTTGTTCTGTTGTCCTCTTGTCCTGTTGTTCTGTTGTCTTGCCCTCCCAGCTCCTGACCACACAGGGGCTTTGTTCCCACGCCAGCCTCTTTGGGGAAAGTGGGGGAGGGGGGCCCTGCTCCAGGCTCTGGGACATTTGTCTTGGGCTGTAGCCTGTGACCAAGGAGAAGAAACCCTGAAGGTGGGTTCCCACCAGATGTGGGCATGGTCAGCTACATCAGGCCCCCAAAGGTGTGCACATCCTAATCCCACGAACCCGTGGGCACGTTACCTTACATGCAACAGGCACTCTATGGATGGAGTCGGGATAAGTGTCTAGAGATTGGGAGGTTGTTCTGGGTCATCCAGACGACTTATGAGAGGGCCCTTATGAGAGGGAGGCAGCAAGCTCACAGAGAGGGCCATGGAACAACAGCAGCTCAGACACAGCAGAGGCCGCACAGCTGTCCTGGGTGCCGAGTAGCTGCAGAGGTCAGAGGAGGTGCAGAGCAGGTGTTCTGCAGCCTCCAGAGGGACCAGCCCTGCTGACTCCCTGGCTTTGGCTCAGTGAAACTCATTTCGGACTTCTGACCTCCAGCTCTGCAAGAGAAGGAATCTGTGCTATTTTAAACCACTAAATTTGTGGTTTCTGTTCAGCAGCAGTGGGAGAGGGCGAAATGCTCTCCAGCTTGGCACCCACAGCCCAGCTCAAAGGCAGGGACTGTGGTTGCTTTGCAAATGAGGGAGGCTGGGTCCCTGCCTTCACCGGGCTTACCATCTAGGTATGGAGAGGAGTAACGTAAGGTGAAGTCAGAAAAGAATCATAAGAAAAGAAAGTCCACACCCTGGAAGGATCTGAGGCAGAAGGAAGCTCTTGCTGAACCACCTGAGAGGAGGCGGTCTGGCCTGGGCACCCTGGGGGGCCTGTGCCCCCACTTCGAGGCCCCCCTGGAAGGTGCTTGGCTCTCCGGATGACCCCAGCACTGGGGAGACCCGCTGTGCTTTCCAGGCAGCACAGACACCTCGGTGTAGGTGTTGTGGTGCCACAGGGAAGGGTGTTTCTTCCAGCCTGGTTCTCAGGACGGGCTGCTGGCTGGAACAAACCCCACCTCTATCTGAGCCACCAACCATCTGAACCGGTATTCTCTCTATCTGACAAATATTCCTCCTTCTTTACATCCCAGAAATGGTGAAAATGCACAATGCCTCAGGACACCTTGAGGAAGGAGCAGCGTGTTGCTGCCGAGGGTGAACACACGTGGTCTCTGCGGAGAGGCGACAGATCTCCCTGGGCGTCAGTCATCCTGGGACTGGGTGTCGTGGAAGAAGGTGACACCAGGCAGAAACCAAGAGCAGGGGAGCTGCAGGCCGGCATCAGAGCCCGTATCAGAGCAGAGTGGCCCCTGAGCGGGGAGGGAGCCGGAGATCACTGTTGGAGGAGGGCCCGGCACCTGCACCTGAGGACGTGAGTCTAATAAAAGAGTATAAATAATATAATAAAAGAGAGTATAATAAAAAAATAATTTAAAGAAAATAGAGCTTGATAAATCTGTTTCTTCATCTTCATAATAATGTCAAATTTGTTGAGATTTTTTTTAAATGGCACGATTTGTCTACAGATCTTTGTACTCTGTCTGGCTTAAATTAAATATATATACAACTTATATAATAAAATACTGGGCTGTTTTATTATTATATTGATAATTTCTTAGTCAACACTACTTTGATCATATTCTATAAACGGCACTGTAAGACCTGTGACTGGTTATCAACAACATAAAGTGATTATGAGAGTTTCATGTGACAGATGAAGGAAGGTTGGTTAGTGCAGTGGCAATAGTTGGCAACCTGAGAAACTGAGCTCACAATTTTAGAAAAGTATTATTCTTTCTAACTAGATATTTCCATGAAAAGAACCTTGTGAAATGCAGAAATGCCAAAAGAATAATTATAAGATAATAACCAAATAACTAAAATGCATCTCAATTTCTCTGACAATTTAACTTAACGTGGGGTGCAGGCAGAATCACAATGTTTACAAACATAGGCATTTATGATCTCAAGACGTTTAATTCTTAGCTCATTGAGGAAAACAGTAGCGGAACTGTTATTGCAGAGATAAAAGACAGAAAACAGTGGAAGGGCTTGATCACAAGTCATATGTTCCAGTTTTGGAAACCTCTAAAAATCCTGCCTGGTGATAGGTTTTTCTTAACTCATTATTGAAGAATATATGAGCAGGCAGAGCATGGTGGCTCAAATCTGTAATCCCAGCACTTTGGGAGGCCAGTGTTGGAGGAACACTCGAGGCCAGGAGCTCAAGACTAGCCTGGGCAACATAGCAAGACCCTGTCTCTACAATTTCTTTTTAAACTAGCCGACTGTGGCGGCATATGCCTGTAGTCCCAGCCACTAGGGAGGATGAGGTGGGAGACTGGCTTGACCTTAGGTGTTTGAATCTGGAGTCATCTGTGATTGTGCCACTGCACTCCAGCAAGAATGACAGAGCTAGATCCTGCGTACAAATATACACATATTGTATATATTGTCAATGACCAGTCACAGGTCTTACAATGCTGTTTATACAACATGGTAAAAATGATGTTGACAAAGAAATTATCACAATAATAATAATAAAAGCCCTGTGTGTTATTATTTAAGTTGTTCATAAATTTAATGTAAATGAGGTAGAGTAATAAAGATCTGTAGACAAATCATGTCATTTATTTTTTTAATCTCAACATAATATAACTTTTTTTTTTTTTTTAGACAGATTCTCACTCTGTCACCCAGGCTGGAATGCAGTGGCTAGATCTCGGCTCACTGCAACCTCCACCACCCCGGTTCAAGCGATTCCTCTGCCTCAGCCTCCCGAGTAACTGGGATTACAGGTTGCTGCCACCGTGCCTGGCTAATTTTTGTATTTTTAGTAGAGAGGGGGTTTCACATATATTTTAATTAGAAAATTAAAATTTTAAACTTTCAGAGGAAGTGGTAGTAATATAAAACAGGATATTTTTATAATAAGGAACTCTTATATTTTGCATATTATTCTCTCATCACCAAATAATGCTACCTAAAGTAATATACAACCAATTTAATAAGTTTAGTTTTAAAAAACACAAAATTACAAAACAATTAATACAATATTTGAAATCATGATGCATATTGCCAGCCTCCCTTCAGGTAAAGTTCTATTAACTCTACAAAAATTTTCTAAATGGCAGATGTTACATTTCCAGATAGCTTTGTGGTAACCAACACAGAATTGATTTATTAGTAATTTTTATATCACATTGAGACAAAATATTATTTGTGATAAATATTGTTACATATTTAAAACATCTCATGTATTAAGAAATCATACTTTAGATGGGGCCAAGCTGGCCTATTAGAAGCAGCTGTGGCCTGCGGCTCTCACGGAGAGCAGTAAAAACTGCGAGTGAATTCTGCACCTTCAGTTGAGGTATCCAGGTTCTTGCATTGGGACTGACTAGCCAGACAGCTCGACCCACAGGGAGTGAGGAAAAGCAAGTGGGGCGATGGCCCACCCAGGTGTGGCACGGAGCTAGGGGCGACCCCACTCACAGCCAAGGGAGGCGGTGAGTGATTGTGCGACTCTGCCCGGGAAACCATGCTTCTCCCACGGATCTTTGCAACCTGCAGATCAGGAGGTCCCCTGGTAAGCTCAGCCATGGCCTTGGGTCTGAAGCACGGAGCTGTGTGGAGTCTGGGCGGAATGCTCGCTGGCTCACTGGGGCATGCGTGAAAGCCCAGGAGTTTTGCATCCTCTGCCCCGAGAATTCCAGCAAAGCGGAAGATACATCCGTGCATTCCCCTAGGAAGGGGGCTGAATCCAGGGAGCCAAGTGACATCATTCTGAGGCCCCACTCCCACAGCACCTCACAAGTCCCATTGGCTTGGAATTCCAGCTGGCCAGCGGCAGCAGGCTGGAGGCAGCCGGAGATGGACCGGGTTCCCGGGGTAGGGCAGCCACTCTATCTGTGGTTTGAGTTGGCCGCTCTAGCCTGCTGGCACCAGGGACCAGGAGGAGTCCCCCATAACACAGCACAGCTGCTGTGACTGATCGTGGCCGGGCTGCTTCTTTAAGTGAGACCGAAATCCATCCCTCCTCACCGAACAGGGCCTGCCCATCGGAATTTAGGAACTCCAGCCAGAGTTCTATGGACAGAACTCTGATTTCTCCCTGGGATGAAGTCCCCAGGGAGAGGGGTAGCTGCTGTCTCCCCAGTTCAGCCGACTGAGCCTTTCCAGCCTGCTGGCTCTGGAGACTCCTGGCAGTCACCACAGCACACCTGCTCTGCCAAAGGGCAGCCACACTGCTTCTTTAAGCAGTCCCTGATCCTGTTCCTCCTGACTGGGCAAGACCTCCCAACAGGGGTCTCCAGACACCTCCTACAGGAGCGTTCCAGCTGGCATCAAGTCGGTACCTCCTTGGACTGGTGCTCCCAGAGGAAGGAACAGGCTGCGATCTTTGCTGTTTCGCAGCCTTCACTGGTGATACCTCCAGGTGCAGGAGAGACTGAGGTGACCAGGGTCCAGAGTGGACCCCCAGAAAACCACAGCAGACCTAGGGAAGAGTGGTCTGTTAAAAACAAACAGAAAGCAACACCATCAACAAAAAAGACCCCACAAAAACCCCATTCAAAGGTCAGCAATGTCAAAAATCAAAGGTAGATAAGCCCACAAAGATGAGAAAACATAACACAAAAACGCTGAAAACTCAAAGAGGCAGAATGCCTCTTCTCCTCTAAATGACAACACCACCTCCCCAGCAAGGGCACAGAACTGACCCAAGGCTGAGATGGCTGAATTGACAAAAGTAGGCTTTAGGAGGTGGGTAATAACAAACCACACTGAGCTAAAGGAGCACATTCTAACTTAATGCAAAGAAGCTAAAAATCATAAAAGAAATTACAGAAGGTGATAACCAGAATTATTCAGTTTAGAGAGGAACATAACTGACCTGATGGAGGTGAGAAACACAACACGAGAACTTCACAATGCAACCACAAGTATCACTAGCAGAATAGGCCAAGTGGAGGAAAGAATCTCAGAGCTTCAAAACCATCTGTCTAAGACAGGAAGAGAGAATACAGAAAAAAGACCAAAAAAGAATGAACAAAACCTTCAAGAAATATGGGATTATGTAAAAAGACTGAACCTAAGACTGATAAGGGTACCTTGACCCACCACGATCAAGATGGCTTCATCCCTGGGATACAAAATTGGTTCAACACAGGCAAATCTATAAATGTAATTCCTCACATACACAGAACTAAACACAAAAACAACACGATTATCTCAACAGATGCAGAAAAGGCCTTCAATAAAATTCAACATCCCTTCATGTCAAAAACTCTCAATAAACTAGCTATTGAAGGATCACACCTCAAAATAATAAGAGCCATATATGACAAACCCACAGCCAATATCATACTGAATGAGCAAAAGCTGGAAGCATTCCCCTTGAAAACTGGCACAAGACAAGGATGGCCTCTCTCACCACTCCTATTCAACATAGTACTGGAATTTCTGGCCAGGGCAATCAGGCAGGAGAAAGAAATAAAGGTATTTAAATAGGAAGAGAGGAAGTCAAATTATGGTTGTTAGCAGATGACATGATCCTGTATCTAGAAAACCCCATCATCTCAGCCCAAAAGCTTCTTAAGCTGATGAACCACATCAAGAGAATCTCAGGATACAAAATCAATGTGCAAAAATCGCTAGTATTCCTATACACCAACAACAGGCAAGTAGAGACCCAAATCATGAATGAACTTCATTCACAATTACTACAAAGAGAATAAAATACATAGGAATACAGCTAACAAGCGAAGTGAAGAACCTCTTCAAGGAGGACTACAAACCACTGCCCAGAGAAATCAGATAGGACACAAACAAATGGAGAAGCATTCCATGCTCATGGATACGGAAGAATTAATTCATGAAAATGGCCATAGTGCCCAAAGTAATTTATAAAAGAATTCAGTGCTATTCCCATTAAACTACCAATGACATTCTTCACAGAATTAGAAGAAACTATTTTACAATTCTCATGAACCAAAAAAGAGCCCAAATAGCCAAGACAATTCTAAGCGAAAAGAACAAAGCTGGAGGCATCACACTACCCAAATTCGAACTATACTATAAGGCTACAGTAACCAAAACAGCATAGTACTCGTACAAAAACAGATACATAGACCAATGAAACAGAATAGAGAACTCTGAAATAAGACCATACACATACAACCATCTGATCTTTGACAAACCTGACAAACACAAGCAATGGGGAAAGGATTCCTTATTTAATAAATCATATTGGGAAAACTGGCTAGCCATATGCAGAAAACTGAAACTGGACATCTTCCTTATACCTTATACAAAAAAATAACTCAAGATGGAATAAAGACTTAAACATAAGACCTAAAACCATAAAAACCCTGGAAGAAAACCTAGGCAATACCATTCAGGACATAGGCATGGGCAAGGACTTCATGTCTAAAACACCAAAAGCAATGGCAACAAAAGCCAAAATTGACAAATGGGATCTAATTAAACTAAAGAGCTTCTGCACAGCAAAATAAACTCATCAGAGTGAACAGACAACCTACAGATTGGGAGAAAATGTTTGCAATATGTCTGACAAAGGGCTAATAACCAGAATCTACAAAGAACTTAAACAAATTTACAAGAAAAAAAAAAACCCCATCAAAAAGTGGGCAAAGGAAACGAACAGACACTTCTCAAAAGAAGACATTTATGCGGCCAACAAACATATGAAAAAAAGCTCATCATCACTGGTCATTAGATAAATGCAAATCAAAACCACAGTGAGATACCATCTCACACCAGTTAGAATGGCGATTATTAAAAAGTAAGGAAACAACAGATGCTGATGAGGCTGTGGAGAAATAGGAATGCTTTTACACTGTTGGTAGGAGTGTAAATTAGTTCAGTCATTATGGAAGACAGTGTGACAATTCCTCAAGGTTCAGCAATCCCATTACGGGGTATATACCCAAAGCATTATAAATTATTATACTATAAAGACATGCACTGTATGTTTATTTCAGCACTGTTCACAATAGCAAAGACTTGGAACCAACCCAAATTCCCATCAATGATAAAGTGGATAAAGAAAATGTGGCACATATACACCATGGAATACTACACATTTATGTCCTTTCCAGGGACATGGATGAAGCTGGAAACCATCATTCTCAGCAAACTAACACAAGAAAAGAAAACCAGGCCAGGAGCAGTGGCTCATGCCTGTAGTCTCAGAACTTTGGGAGGCTGAAGTAGGCAGATCACCTGAGGTGAGGAGTTTGAGACCAGCCTGACCAACATGGAGAAACCCCGTCTCTACTAAAAATAGACACAATTAGCCAGGCATGTTGGCACATGCCTGTAATCCTAGCCACTTGGGAGGCTGAGGCAGGAGAGTCGCTTGAACCCAGGAGGCAGAGGTTGTGGTAACCCAAGATCATGCCATTGCACTCCAACCTGGGCGACAAGAGTGAAATTTTGTCTCAAAAAAAAAAGAAAGAAAAAGAAAAAGAAGAAAAGAAAACCAAACACTGCATGTTCTCACTCATAAGTGGGAGTTGAACAATGAGAACACATGGACACAGGGAGGGGAACATCACACACTGGGGCCTGTCGGGGGTGGGAGGCTGGGGGAGGAATAGCATTAGGAGAAATACCTAATGTAGATGACAGGTTGACGGGTGCAGCAAACCACCATGGCACGTGTATACCTATGTAACAAACCTGCATGCTCTGCCCATGTATCCCAGAACTTAAAGTACAACAAAGAAAACTTTACATAAATGCATAAAGTCTAGAACAGCTAATATATTATAATGAAATATCAACTATAATCCCAGCTCAAAGAGAACACCATGAAATTATGAAGGGCTTTCCACAAATCTCTAAATTTATGTCTTCATAAGATTACATTTCTATTTCTTCTTGAATAATTTCCTTATTTTAGCTATGATTTAGTGATAGTAAGATGGTAATTATGAGGAGAAACTTCTCCCAACACGCCATTGAGAAAATTCTGCCTCATTTCACCACACACCAGAGTCTTAAGCAGTCACTTCTAATGTAGCTGAACAATAGATCCTCACCCACCTGAGTCTATGAATTGAATCCACGTATGTGAGATAAGGCCCCCAAGGAGTGGTAATAAGCTGGGAATGCCATCAGCTCATCTTCCTTCAGGCCTATATTTGTCATTGTCACTTGTAGAAGCAGGACAGCCCTGGCGTTGGGGTTGGTAGAAACAGAGAGTATCAAAGGGAAAACTGAACTTCCCTAATTTTTGGAAAACAGCAGATTGGAGACAGATGGGCTCCAGCATTATCCATGTGTGAGGTCATTGTCCCAGGCAGCCTTGCTCAGGACCACATTTCTTGTCAGCAAAACAGAAGTCAAACGATATTTCTACCTTCCAAGAGAACAGAACATAATGTCAGATTTTCTCATGGATTCCCACAAGTTCAAGAAAGTTTCGTGGCCTTATTTAACTGCTTAAGCATTTTAACTAAAAAATTATTTGTCTTTCAAATACACAGGAATCTGTTTGGAAAAATTTTAACCAGAAAAAGTTGGAATTCTAAAGTAAAAAATGCATAAGGCCATCAAAATTTTTTACAGCTTTTAATTTAGATGTCAATGGGGGAAAAAAAGACATTCTCTGAAGTTTGCTTTTATACCATTAAAGACTTATTTTTTATTACCAGCAATACAGGGCAACTCATTCAGGTTGAATCTTGAAGGTAAACTTTAACTTAATTATAAGTTTTGGCTAATTTTTAAGCATTTATCAGTCACCTACCATGATTTCATCTCAGAAACCAAAATCTCAATTTCATTTAGACCTTTGAAATCTTAAAACAGAAAATTAAATGCTTCAAAATAATATTCATGTAGAGGCTTATATATGTGGACCAGGAATCTCCATGTATTACAAAGTTTATGAGAACATAACAAATGTTGATACACACATTTAATTCTTAAATAAAAACTTACAACAAATAAAACTGTAACAAATCAAGAAAATTTTGTAGGTTTCACATTTTATGTCTAAAAATATAGGTATTAAACACTCAAGGATGGATAAAAGAAATCACAAGAGAAAACAGAAAATATCTAGAGACAAATTAAAAATATGAAATACCGAAAGTTAAGAGATACATCAAAAATAATACCATAAGGGAAAAATGTATAGCTATAAATGATAATAAAAAATAAGATACCGAATCAACAACTTTACTCCTAAGGAACTAAAAACAGAGGGAAAAAAGGGGACTACTAAAAGAGGGACAACTAAAAGAGGGACAACTAAAAGCTAGCAAAATTTTAAAAATGATAAAGATAGCAGTGGAAATAAGTGAAATAGAGAACAGAAAAACAATATCAAAAATCAACAAAACCAAGTTTGTTCTCTGAAAAAGATCAAAATTGACAAAATTTTATATAGATTGACTAAGGAAAAAAAGGGAATACTCAAATTACTAAACTCAAAAATAAAATGGGTACATTACTAACAAATTTTTGGAGTAAAAAAAGGATGCACGAGAGTACCATAAGGAACTATACACTAAAAAATTGAGTAACCTAAATAAAATGAACAAATTCCTAGAAACAAAAAACCTACTAAGACTGAATCAGAACAGTTGAATAAACCTATTCAGCAAGGAGATTCAGCAGGAAGATGGCATAAGTAATCAAAAACCCAGCAACAAAGAAAAGCCTGGACCAGATGGCTTCACTGTTGAATTCTACCCAACGTTTAAAGCAGAATTAACACCAGTTTTTCTCAAACTTTTTCAAAACGTTGAAGAGGAGGTAATGTTTTCTAACTTATTCTATGAGGCCAGTATTACCTTGACACCAAGCCAGACAAAGGCACCATAAGAAAACTACAAACAAACATCCCTTACAAATGCTGATGCAAAAATCCTCAACAAAATACCAGCAATTCAAATTTAGCAGTACATTAAAAGGATTATACACTATGAATGAGTATAATTGACTCCTGAAATAAATGTTCCAACACATGAAAATCAGCATAATATCACATTAACATAAAGAAGGAAAAAACCTCGTGATCACCTTAATCAAAGAAAAAGCATTTGTCAAAATTTAACCCACGTTCATGATAAAATACACTTAATAAGCTATAAAAAGGAATAAAACAACATAAGGTTATATTTAAAAACACACACAGCTAACATTATAATGAAAGACTGAAAGCTTTTACCCTAAGAGCAAAATCAAGGATGCCTGCTTTTACTACTTCTATTTAATATAGTACTGAAGGTTCTAGTTAGTTAAAACAATAAGGCAAGTAAAATAATAAAAGATATTCCAATTTTTAAAAAAGTAAAATTTTCTGTTCGCAGATGACATAACTTTATGTATTAAAAATCTTTTAGTTTCTGTGAGATAAACTATCAGATGCAATAAATAACATTCAGCAAAACTGCAGGATACAAAATCAAGACACAAAAATCGGTTGTATTTCTACAATAACAAACTATCTGAAGAAGAAATCAAGACAACAGTATCATGTATGATAGCATCAAAAGAATAAAATACTTAGAAGCCCACTTAACCAAGGAAATGAAAAACCTGTACAGCAAAACTATAAACATTGCAGGAAAGTATTAAAGATGACACAAATAAATGAAAAGACATCATGTGTTTATGGACTGGAAGACAAAACCTCATCAAGACGCCATTGTTATCAATAGTTATCTACAGATTCAATAAAATCACTATAAAAATTCCAATATTTGCAAAAATAGAAAAACCTATTCTGAAATTCAGATGAAATCTCAAAAAACCCCAAGTAGCCAAATCAATCTTAAAAACTAACAAAGTTAGAGGACTAACACCTCCTGGTTTCAAACTTACTGCAATGCTTCAGTACCCAAAACAATGCTGTACCACCATAGAGACAGACATAAAGACCAATGCAATAGAAATAGAGAACCAAAAAACACAGTCATGATTTTTAACAAGGGAGTAAAAACTATGGGGAAAGGACAGTATATTTTTAAATGGTGTTAAGAATGAATATTTACATGGAAAACAATACAGTTGGACCCTTACTTTACACCATATAAAAAACTTAATTTAAAATGGACTAAACATCTAATTGTAAGAGCTAAAACTATAAAACCCTTAGAAGAAACATAGGAAAAATGTTTCATAACATAGAATCTGGCAATAATTTCTTGGATATGACAGTGAAAGCACAGACAACAACAACAACAAAAATACATAAAAAGAACTTCATCAAAGTGACAAGCTGTTATGTATCTGAAGATATGATCAATAGATTGAAAATAAATTCATGAAGGGAAAGAAAATATTCACACATTATATATTTGATAAGTAATTAATATCTAGGCTATATAAAGACCTCAGCAACAACAACAAAACAATCAAATTTAAACATGAGCAAAGGTTTTAGAATACACATTTCTCTTACGAAGATATGCAAATGACCAGTAAACACAGGATAAGGTGCTCAGCATCACTAATCGTGAGAAAAAAGTAAATCCAAACCACAGTGCAATACCAACTAACACATGTAAGCATAGCTGCCATCAAAAGCACCACCACCAGCAAAGCAAAACAACAAAGCCCCAGAGAACAGCAAATGCTGATGTGGAGAAGTCAGGACTCCTGCACACTGCTGGTGGGAAAGTAAGATGGCACAGCCACTGTGGAAAACAGTAATCACCATATGATACAGTAATTCCACATCTGGGTATATACCCCAAAAAACTGAAAGTGGGAATTCGCACATCCCTGTTTATAGCAGCATTCACAAGAGCCAGAGGGTAGAAAAAGCCCAAATGTCCATCTACAGATGAATGGATAAACAAATATGATCAATACACACAATGATATATTATTCAGCCTTAAAAAGAAATTCTAATACATGCTACAACATAAACCTTGAAAAGATTAAAACAAAAAAATGCAAATACTCTATGCTTTCCACTTTTATAGCATACCTAGAGCAATTAAATTCATAGACACAGAAAGTAGGATGTGGTTTCCAGGGGATGGGGGGAAGGGAAAGGGGAGCTATTGTTCCGTGGATACAGAGTTTCACTTTGGGATGATAAGACAGGGTTGGAATGGATAGTGGTGACAGTTGCACAACAATGTATTTATACTTAATGTACTTTTCTGTTATACGTATTTTACCACAGTAAAAAAATTAGCAAATATTTAAAAATCTACTTGTTTCCTTGAACTGTTTCTTTACATCCCTTGTCCATTTTTCAATTTGGCTGTTGGTCTTTTAATAATTTAGGATAGCTATATAGCTATATATATACATATATATTACCCAAATTAGCTTTTTGTCTGTCATGTATGTTGCAGATCTATTTCCCCAGTCTGTTCACTTTTGACTTTGAGGCATTTTTCTCGCCTATAAAGTTTTAATTTGTATGGAGTCAAATGCATCAGTCTTCTATTCAAAGACTTATTTATGGGTTTGGTGTTTCAGTTTAGGCTGATAAAGAAGTTGTAGATATGGATAAAGGAGATGGTTGTACAACACATTATACTGGATGCCACTCAACTGTACGTTTAAACATGGTTAAAATGGTAAGTTTTATGTTGTGTATATTTTACCACCAAAAAAGGGCCAGGCTTAGATGTTTACATGTTAGGGGTTTGGAGTACCTCTAACATTTATTCCCCTCCAGGGGAATAATTTATAAACACCCACACAAGAAAAGTAGATACTGACTTCACAAATCTCCTTACAAGTCCCACAGCAAGGGCTGTCTGGGAAAGCAGAGATGGAAAAAGTCACATAAACTTGAGGTCAACGTGAGACCTCCCATCCCCTACTCTGGAATCAGTTGGAGGAAGGCATACATGCAGGCTGAGCTGGAGAGATGAGCTGGGGTGGGCAGAACTGTCCTCCCATGAGCCTAGACCTTAACTGCTCCCACATGCTCCCAGGCATGTATCAAACCAAGAAAGCGGCTAGGAGGGTAACACAGCTACCTGTATACAGGGAGCCATGAAATATCTGAGCTGCGCAAGTGATGCACAAGGAGATGGAAGCAGTATGACCTTTTACACAGTGACCTGGCTCGAATAATTTCAGGCTCTCATTCATCAGGCGAGCTCCGCTTTCTCTCTGAGGTAGGTAAACTTGAGGGGGTAAAGTGGGAGTTGGGGATAATGGAAAAGAAAGCCTGGTAGTATTTCTCCTAACTCTGTTATAAATAAAAAGTAAAACATAAATGCCTTTTCTCAGGGCCCAAATGTTAGGCGAAAAAATGTTTGTCGTCTCAGTCATGTGATGTGGACTTCAGCAGAGCAGGACACACATGGTCATTTATCCTTTCCCTCTGCATGTTGTGTGCTTTTTCAGTTTATAATGTACCTGATCCACTTGTCTCATCACACTAGCTGCAAACAAGGCCACTGAATGTCACACCAGGTGGCCAGCATGTCTGTGAAGGGCAGAAACTGGGGCAGCCAAACAGCTGGCAGAGGCCAGCTAGGAAGTACCCGATGCCCACTCCATAGAGGACTCCACACTTAAAAGACAAGATCAGCAAGTGTCAGGCTGCCTCACTAGTTATCCCCCCAAATAAAAAAATAAAAGTAACCCCTCCAGGGAACGTGTGTGTACACACAAAAGTACATGCACACATCTACATGCAAACGGGAAAGGCTGGGAAGGAACCAAATCCACCTCTGAACACCAGTTACTTGTGGGGAAGGGGCAGGTGAAGCCAACTGTCAGCATTACTCACCTTTTCAACTGATAAGCTTGCATCAATTTTGGCAATTTCTCATAAAAAGGCAATTTTCACTCCTTGGGTGATCACCCAGGTCCTGCAAAACTGAGCCACCAACAACCACCTGCACCACTTCCCATGAGGCCAAATAATGGCTTCCCTCAAAGCTCAGCCCTCCCACCCGCCTCCCAGTCCTCTCCCATGCAGGGGGCTGCCGGCCTCCTGGGGTACAGGTGTCCAGGCCAAACCCAACCCACAGATGGTTGGTGAAACCAGCATGTATCCAAGAGCCTTTCCACCACCTGGGCCATGTGCCCACTGCATAGATAGGCCTGTGCTTGCTCCCCTAGGACAGAGACTCCCTTTTCTTCCATTGGAATGAGGGGTGGGGAGATTTGATGGTGTCCTGTACAGGTTGGGTGTTAATCTGATGTGGTGCTCTTGGAGAAGCTTGCTTGAGTTTGGCGCTTTCTCAGCACGTGTTGTGTGCTGCCCCTTCAATCTGCAGGAGTCCCAGAAGGTAAGTGCTGCTGCAACCCCCATTTACTGGTGAACAGAGGTCAGGTGATCTGCAGCCGACCGAGCAGCTGCTGAGTGGCCAACAGGCGGGATCTGTATCTAACTTGCAGAGGCCCTGCCTGGATGCTGGGGCTGCCCTGAGACTCCCTCCACCTCCTCTTCCCTCCACAGCTCTCCCGGCTTCTATCCACAGCTGTGCTCCAGGTGGGGAACACCTGTGGATACACCAGGGTGCAACTACTCAGAGTCCAGTGTGCAGAAGGGCCCCTGCTCTATGCTGTTTCCGTATCCAAGCCCAAGCTCGTCTACAGCTTCAGCAAATCCAAGCCTCCCTGAATTCCCCGCAAGACCAAACAGCCCTACAACACCCACCACTCTGGTTAGCTGCCAGTCCCAGCCCCTGTTCCCTCCTGGACCCCTGTCTGTACAGTTCTGAAGTCCTACAAGAATGTTGAGATCCTAAGCTGACTCTCACCCAAAGAGGTAAACAACCAGGGGCCTCCAGGTGGAGAGAACATACCCAGACAGGTTCTGCTGCCTGTAGGCTTGATGTCCTTCCCCTACAACACGACTTGCTTGCCAGGCTGGAAGAGGGGCTCCAGAAACTTGGGAAACCTGGGCCTGTAGCTGGCATGTGGAAAAGAGGCCTGGAAAAGCACCACTCCTGTCCATGAAGCCCCCACATGGAACCAGGTAGTTGGGAAATACATGGGCACCAAGCCTGACCCCCCATCAGACCTAGGTGGGAACTGCAGTGGTGACTTGCCCCCTCTGCCAGTCTGGCTGTACCACTACAGGAGGGAGGAACATCTAGCCCCACACGTGAGTGGAGACACCAGGTGTGGGCAGGTTCCGGTGGTTGCTGCAGCTGAACCTTCCTAACCAGGTCCATGCAAGACCATCTCAGATGGGTGCGCACCTGGGTTGGGCAAGGACACCCCTCAGACAGTGAGAGCCACTGAGAGGGGCTGCCACTGAGAGGGGCTGTCACAAAGGCCCCTTTTCCTGCTCTTAGAACAGGTTGGGCGAGTGTGGGCGAGTGTGGGCGAGTGTGGGCGAGTGTGGGGAACCTCTCCCACCTCCCAGCTGCTTCCAGGAGCCACTTCTTTTGAGATGAGACACTCTCCTGCCTGCCTGTTCCCATTTGGCTGCAATAGACCATTGACAACATTCAGAGAACAAGAAGGGGCCTCACCTGTTTTCCCTGACACGTCGGAGGCAGGTGGGCATTCCCAGGGGACCTGGGGTAGAACCTGTTCATCTGCCCACCCCCAGGCTATGCTGGCTTCATCTTATCTGTGCGATAGGGCTGGGGGTGGGGGTGGGGGTGGGAATTACCAAGAGACCATCACACAGGCCGTGGACAAGTTCTACAAGAGCCAGGGAGAAGAACACTGTCCGTGCATGCTGCCCAGCGCCCAGCTCACACACACAGCTCTCATTTGACAGCTTCCCCAAAGCAGGCTTTTGCAGTCCAGGCTCCCCAAGAAGCCTGGGGAGGAGACTCTGCCAGGCTGAAGGGCCTGTCCCCAAAGGTGCCACCCTCACCAGGCTCATCCTGGCAATCTTGGATTATTTTTGCCCTGAGGTTTTGGAGTGGGGGACAGGGAGACAGCAGACAGTACGCATTAGCCACCTTTCCAGAGAGCATCAGCCCTCCAGACTGGGGCAGGTCAGACCTCCACTCAGGCGTTTTTCTCACTGGTTGCCAGTTGGGGGAAGCAGCATTTGTGAGCACCTGCCTGTCTCCCCAGGTCCTGTTCAGAAACCCCATCTGTGCCTTTGGAGGGACTGCCCTGAGCACAGAGGCCCAGCAACCGCATCTACGGCCCCCAGGACCTAATCCCCTTCTACATCAGGTTCAGTGCATGTCACAGGCCCAGCAACCACATCTACGGCCCCCAGGACCTAATCCCCTTCTACTTGGGGTTCAGTGCATGTTAGCAGACACTGGGCTTGATCCCTGCCTAGTCCCTGCCAGATATCCCATGCCCACCTCGTGAAGAGAATGAGGCCACACAATCACACCCAGGCCATCGTGGTGATGGAGTCGCTGGGGTCCCACTTGCCCACCCTTCATTGCTGGTTCAGAGCCAGCTGTCTGACCACATTCCTACCCCGAGATGGGACTCTGGGGACATTGTCCAGCAGGGTTCGCTGACCCCTTTTAAAGTTCCAGAAACATGGCCAGCTGGTCCCCTAGAAGTTTGGCACATGGGATAAGCCAAGGCTTGCCTTCAGGAACAGGTTTTCCACCACGTCGCTGCCCAAGGCCCAGGGCATCCCCAAGTTCATGTGAAGCCTGCCTGCCATGTCCACAGCCCATGCCGAGCCCTCCTGGAGCCACTGGAATGCTTGTTCCTGGGCATGTGATAAGCCCAGACAGCTTCTGCCTTGCAGGACAACTATGCGCATCTGGCAGCAGTAGCCAGAGGGCCCATAGAAAGAAGATGGAGGTGAAACCAGATGCTGTGAAAATGCTTTATTAGGCAAAACCGCATACTATAAAAATGCTTTAAAACGCAGCAGGAGATGTGAAGACACAAATGAACAAGCGCATAGTGACACATGGCTGTCAGAACACAGTGAAGAACCCACACTGCCTCCCCCCTTTACCTAGAAAAGGAGAGTTCTAGGCCACCTCCTCCTCGGCATACTCCTCATCCTCCTCCTCCTCGGCCGTGGCATCCTGATATTGCTGATATTCAGACACCAGGTCGTTCATGTTGCTCTCGGCCTCGGTGAATTCCATCTCATCCATGCCCTCGCCCGTGTACCAGTAGAGGAAGGCCTTGCACCTGAACATTGCTGTAAACTGCTCTGAGACACGCTTGAAGAGTTCCTGGATGGCCGCATTATTCCCAACGAAGGTGGCGACATTTTTAGCCCCCAGGGTGGGATGTCACAGACGGCTGTTTTTACGTTGTCGGGGAGCCAGTCAGCAAAGTAGCTGCTGTTCTTATCTTGAATGTTGAACATCTGTTCATCCACCTCCCTCATGGGCATGCGACCCTGGAAAATGGCAGCCGCCATTAGGTAGCGGCCGTGACGGGGGTCACAGGCAGCCATCATGTTCTTAGCATCAAACATCTGCTGGGTGAGCTCAGCCACAGTCAAGGCCCGGTACTGCTGGCTGCCCCGGCTGGTCAGTGGGGCAAAGCCGGGCATGAAGAAATGCAGCCGGGGAAACGGGACCATGTTCACGGCCAGCTTCCGCAGGTCAGCATTCAGCTGGCCCGGGAAGCGCAGGCACGTGGTGACCCCACTCATGGTAGCAGACACCAGGTGGTTCAGGTCACCATAGGTGGGTGTGGGCAGTTTTAGGGTCCTGGAACATATGTCATACAGCGCTTCGTTATCTATGCAGAAGGTCTCATCTGTGTTTTCTATGAGCTGGTGGGCTGAGAGGGTGGCGTTGTAGGGCTCCACCACGGTGTCTGACACCTTGGGCGAGGGCAGGATGCTGAATGTGTTTATGATCCTGTCTGGGTACTCCTCCCGGATCTTACTAATGAGAAGGGTACCCATCCCAGACCCAGTCCCCCCACCCAGGGAGTGGGTCAGCTGGAAACCCTGCAGGCAGTCACAGCTCTCAGCCTCCTTTCTGACAACGTCCATCACTGACTCCATCAGCTCCGTGTCTTCGGTGTAGCGTCCCTTGGCCCAGTTGTTTCCGGCCCCACACTGACCTGTAAGACAGCACAGCCGGTCACTCGACGGCCAGGTATACGGTCATCAGTGGTCACCACCATAATGCAGAAAGGGCCAGGGGTTAAGGGGCTGCCTCTGAAGTGGTGGAGAGCACAAGGCTGCAGCTAGAAGCTGGGCCTCTTGCGAGATTTGCTTTATTTTATGTTGTCTCTGCCCTATTCCTGTGATGGAAAACTGCACAATCCAAATCTAAAATCTGATCCATGGGAGTCTGGAAGTCTAAGGCTGCTTTTGGTGGCTTCCTGCAGATATCAGAAGCAGACTGGGCTATAAAATAAACTGCTAGCAATACCTGTCCCTTCTTGGAGTCAGGGTCAGTGTTGGTGTATTTCCTCAAAGTCTAAATTATCCACCCTTGTAATAAGGCTAGGTTTTATTCCTTCAAGGAGTCAAATGATCATAATTTTTTATCCCAATTTCTATATCTCTCTATATCCCACTTTCTTCCTAATTCATTTGTCTTTTCTAGATTCTAGTTCTCTTTTGGGTCCTAGTCAGGCACTGCTGTGCCTCCTACTTGATAGGTGTCATGTCCCTGGTTGCAGGCTGCCACCCTATTAGCATGTACTCTAGCCACTCCTATAATGCACTGCTTTTCTACCATGCAGCAGGTAAACATAAATATATGCAAATCC
Organism: Homo sapiens; assembly: GCF_000001405.40. Lineage (NCBI taxonomy): Eukaryota > Metazoa > Chordata > Mammalia > Primates > Hominidae > Homo > Homo sapiens. The sequence goes on along the minus strand of NC_000003.12, from coordinate 198,119,064 downwards.
TGCCTGGGCAAATCATACATCCAGGTTGGCCTCTTAAATTAGTCTATGAGTTTTCCCAGAACCTCTGAAAACTGTTTTAGTTTCTCCTTGCATATGGCTAATTCAGACATAGAAAAGGGTACATATACCTATATAGTGTCCTTATTATCATCTGTCACTTCCCAGAGAGGGCAAACATTCAAGTTTGCCAGCTGATAAGAGGCCCCACTGCATGTTATTCTGGTGAAGCTCGGGTGTTTCGAGAGTGGGGTGTGTATGTAAGACAGGACTCGAAGGGCAGGGAGAAGAGGATGACCAGACACTAGATAACCCTGGAAAACTAGAAGGAATTAATAACATGTTGCACACCTCACCAGAACTGGAAGGAGTCTGACAGTGTTCTTATGGGGTGCTCAGACTGGCAGGGGGAGTTCAGCCCCAGCTAAGAAAAGCCTGATATTAAGAGGCACTTGCATTAAAAGGGTAATCAATTATGTGCCATCCCTATTTTGTCTTTTCCTCCATCAAACATATAGAAGCCCAATTTAATTTTTTATCCTGATCAAGCATCAGAGAAGCCTGTATATAATGTATTTCCTCCCACTTAGTTTCTCTTCTATAAAACAAATTAAGCTGCAAAAAAAGAAGTCAGGCCAAACAGGGGAAATGGGAAGGCTGTAACTTGTATATTGTAATGTATTAGTCCATTTTCAAAATGGACTATGCTATGACAAAACTGCTATGACAAAACTGACAAAACTCTTTCGGGAAAAAAGTGACATGCTGGGTTTAGAAAGTAGGGTCCAGCTGCCCTATACCAGCTCATCAAAGATGGCCTTATGGTTAAGAAATGAGAGAAAACTGTTAAGAAAAAGTCTCATGTTCTCCATCTTGAGGCTAACTGTTTGCAAAGGGTTGTCATAAAACAGGCTCTCACTAAACAGGCGTATCTGATCTTATCATGTAGGGCTGTTAAATACATTTCAACTTCTAGTCATAATGATGGAGAGGTTACTGCTGATCTTTTCTGTCTAGGTTCCAAGACATCTCTTTTTTTGTGTCACTTGGACCAGTGGCAAATTAAATAAGCAGTCAGCTAAAAGTCAGAGGATCACTGAGAAAAGTAAAAGCTAAACTGTTTGGGGCCTCTTTCCTGGGGCAGCCTCCAGGCTACTAGAAAACAGAGGTGGTGAGCAGAAAGGTGACAAGATGCAGAGCACTCAGGTGAGGGACAGAGAGCACAAGGTGGACAGTCCAAAAAGAGAAAGTGGCAAACATCTTGTTTAGCCAAATCCATTCTTCTCAATATACCCCAGGGCCTCTAACCTTGTGAGCTTGGCCTCTAATCTGAGTATGACACCCCCAGGTCTCTAACTTTGGGCTGAGTCTCTCACCCTAACATTATACCCTAGGGCCTCTCACTTAAGTAATAGTGGATAATCATTCTTGCCCACCTGAATGGCTTCACGACTCTAAAAGACAGCCCACTTGCCAGCTGATTGATTCTGTGTGGACTGTTTTCCTTGGAGTGGGGGTCTTGTCTTGGTGTCCCTTCATGGCATTGCTGAAAGATGTTGCTGGAAAAGAGGGTCCTGATACAGACCACAAAGTAGGATTCTTAGATCTTGTGCAGGAAGAAATTTGAGGTGAAAGAAGCAAGTTTATTAGAAATGACTCCATTACGGAGTTGGACATCCTCAGAAAACAAGAGCAGGAATGCATTGTCTTTTGTTAGTGTCTGTACTTATAAGTAACTATAAAGAGAAAGAGTTATAATTAAACTTGGAAGGTGCAGATGTACTCACTAAAGTCGGGGCTATTGGTTTTAACAATGACCATTAACCCGTTGACCTAAGCTAGCTCATTAATATTATCTTTAAGAAAAAATGCTGCACTCCTAGGACATTTATACATTTTTTAGGCTTGGTGGAAGATGTCTTGTGTGGCCATAAATATTCTGCAATTGTAATTTGTGGCCAGCTAAAAAATGTGACTATTTTCAGACTATAGGTATTAACCTTCTAGATGCCTGGTGAGTACCTAGCTACTCATATTAAGATAGAGTATTCTAGTCATGTGTATTAAACTAGAAGCTTGGTAACCATGAGTTCCTCTAATACAGCAAGTCTACTCCTCAAGGAGAAAATGTATTTCTCAGGAATTTTGTGCATTTTGTTTGATGGCATTTGGTATGTTTACCAAAATGGCAGAAAAGAGTGAAATTAGTCCTCAGAGATTTCTCAGGATTGGATATAAAGTAACAAATGATTATAGTTAATATGCAAGTTGACACAGTTGATATGCAAAAGAAATTTTGTCTGGAACACAATGAGATTTTTATTTATTAATTATTGTTATTATCATTTTGAGACAGAGTCTTGCTCTGCTGCCGGGCTGGAGTGCGGTGCACCATCCTGGCTCACTGAAACCTCCGCCTCCCAGGTTCAAGTGATTCTCCTGCCTCAGCCTCCCAAGTAGCTGGGATTACAGGCATGAATCACCACACCCAGCTAATTTTTGTATCTTTAGTAGAGACGGGGTTTCACTCTGTTGGCCGGCTGGTCTCAAACCCCTGACAACAAGTGATCTGCCCACCTTGGCCTCCCAAATTGCTGGGATTACAGGCATGAGCCACCGCTGACAGCCACAATGAGGTTTTTAGATAATTCTGATTTCCTGCTATTGAGCAGGGAGCTGAGCAAATTCAACAGATCATGGGCCTAAAGTAGGAGAAGACTGAAGACAAACTCTAGAACATACATGATTAAATTAATTACAATTGAAATCAAATCAAATTTAACAAGGCTGTACATCTTAGTCTCAAGATGTTTCCCCTCATTTTGAAACGTGGTGTTATTCAGTGGGAAAGAAAACTAGTGTTTATCTCCAGAGTAAAGAACAGGGTTCCCTGCAGGGATTGATTGAGAGCTATGGCTCAGGATTAAAAATCCTTCTTTTTTCCACTTATAAACTAAAAATTAATTTCTAAACCCCTATTGACTAAATGGAACCCTCTTCTTGGGTAAGGACATTCCAAAGTTAACCTGAAAAGCTAGTTCAAGCCATGGGTCACATATGCCTCATTATACTCTCCTCGCTTTGGTTTTAATTTTAATTTTAATTTTTAATTTATTTTTGTGGGTACATACTTGGTGTATATATTTATGGGGGTACATGACATACTTTGATACAGGCATGTAATGAGTAATACATAATAAAAAACAGGGTATCTGTCCCCTCAAGCATTTATAGCTTGTGTTATAAACAATCCAATTAAAATAGTATTTTAGTTTTTATAAAATGTATAATTAAATTATTTTTGACTATAATCACCCTGTTATGCTATCAAATACTGTCTTATTCATTCTTTCTAAAAATTTTTTGTACCCATTTAGCATCCCCACTATCCCCCATTTCCCACACTGCCCTTCCCAGCTCCAGTATCCATCCTTATACTATCTCTATGACATCGATTGTTTCTAATTTTAGCACCCACAAATAAGTGAGAACATCTGACATTTGTCTTTCTGTGCCTGACTTATTTCACTTAATATAAAGACTTTCAGTTCCATTTATGTTACAGTAAATGACAGACTCTTATTCTTTCTTATAGCTGAATAGTACTCCACTGTGTATATGTACCACATTTTCTCTATCCAGTCATCTGCTGATGGACATTTAGGTCTCTTACAAATCTTGGCTATTAGCAACATTTGTTTTTGACTGACTTCTGGAAATAAAAGCCACCTTAATTGGGGTGAAATGGTATCTCATTTTGGGTTTGATTTGCATTTCTATGATGATAGTAATGTGGAGCACCTTTTCACTTGTCTGTTTGCCATTTGTATGTCTTCTTTTCATAACTGTTCATTTAAGTTTTTGTCCACTCTTTAACTGGATTACTAGAATTTTTCTATAGAATATTTTGAACTCAATATATTGTAGTGTATTAGTCTGTTTCTGCACTGCTATAAAAAAAACTGAGACTGGGTTATTTATCTATTTATCTATTTATGTATTGAGATGAAGTCTTGCTCTGTCACCCAGGCTGGAGTGCACTGGCATGATCTTGGTTCACTGCAACCTCCAACTCCCAGGTTCAAGCAATTCTCTGCCTCAGCCTCTTGAGTAGCTGAGATTACAGGCACCCACCACCATGCCCAGATAAGTTTTGTATTTTCAGTAGAAATGGGGTTTCACCATCTTGGCGAGGCTGGTCTTGAACTCTTGACCTCGTGATCCACCTGCCTCAGCCTCCTAAAGTGCTGGGATTACAGGCATGCGCCACTGCGCCTGGCGAGACTGGGTAATTTATAAAGGAAATGGTTTAACTGAGTCACAGTTCCACATGGCTGGAGAGGCCTCAGGAAACTCACAATCATGGCAGATGGGGAAGCAGGCACCTCTTCCACGACAGCAGGCGAGAGAGCATGTATGTGAAGCAAAGGGGGAAGAGCCCCTTATAAAACCATCAGATCTCATGAGAACTCACTCATTATCAGAAGAACAGCCTGGGGGGAACCACCCCCATGATCCAATCACTTTCTGCCAGGTCTCTCCCTCAGCACCTGGGGATTACAATTCAGTATGAGATTTGGGTGGGCACACAAAGCCTAACCATATCATGTAGCTATTAATTGCTTTTCAGATGGGTAATTTACAAATATTTTCTCCCATTCTGTGGGTTTTCTCTTCACTTTATTGTTTCCTTCACTTTAAAAAAGCTTTCTTACTTGCTGTAATTCCATTTGTCCATGTTTGCTTTGGTTGTCTGTGCTTATGGGGCATAGTTTAAGAGATTTTTGCCCAAACCAATGCCCTAAAGAGTTTCCCCAATGTTTTCTTGTAAAAGTTTGACAGTCTGAGGCGTTAGGTTTAAGTCTTTAATTCATTTTCATTTTTGTATGTGGCAAGAAGTAGGGTTCTAGTTTCATTCTTCTGCCCATGGCTTGCCAGTTTTCCCAGCCCCGTTTGTTACAGAAACTGTCTTATTTTTTGTTGTATGTTCTTGACACTTTTGTTGAAAATAGGTTTAGTTTAGCTGTATGAGTTTGTTTCTAAGTTCTCCATTTCATTCCATTTGTATTTATGTCTGTTTTTATTCTAGTGTCATGCTGCTTCAATTGCTATACCTTGATAGTGGCCAGCAGGCCCCTTGCAGAGGGCAAAGCAACGTGGAATCCGAAGTCACGCTCCGGTCGCCCTGTGACTCCTGCGTGTTCGGGGCATCCGGCTCTGGCTCCGTGGCAGGGCCCGGCCCGGCGATGTGCGGTCCGTGAACCGCGCGGGCGGAAAGCGGGCGGCCGCCTGCGCTGCGGCCCTTGGGTGTTTCGGGAAGTCGCCCGTTCCTCGGGAGTCGGAACTGCTGAGACTCTCTCCGCGGCGAGCGGACCCAGGCGGGCGATCCGGAGGGACGTGAGCGCCCCGCGGGCCCAGCCCTCGGCCCGCCCTGGAGGCGGGAGACCGCTTTCCTCCCCGTCCCTCGCCCCGTCGCGCCTCCCCTGCCTTTCTTCTGTCTTTCCCGCCTCTCTTCCTCCCTCTCTTTTCTCCTCTCCAATGTCCCCGCCGCCGTCTGTCTTTTCCTCTCTCCGTCTCTCCCTTTCTCGCTGTCTCTGTTTTTCTTCTCATCTCTATTTCTTCAACCTTATATGATGCTACTGTATCTCTGTGTTACTGTTATTTGTTGCAAGTGTACTTTGCAACAAAGTACGTTTCGTGAAGATATTTACATTCCCATTTAGACACGTTATTTAGGTATGTGCATTTGTTTAATAGACGTAAGGGTGTTTCAGACTTATTCTACAGCACAGTTTAAGCATAATTTTTATAAGCACTGACAACCCGAAAATTGTGTGACTCACATGCCTGTGATTTTTTTCCGTTGCACTGGTCTTGAACAAAAGCTCTACATCTGCAATTTATATCTGTGTGGTATCATCGAATCGCCCCGTTTACTGGAGTGACAGAACACGATTTCCCGACTACGACAAGAGCTATGGGCAGTGGGGAGGTCAGGGTTAGGATGACACAGAAATAAAGATAAGTCATTCTCTTTTTCACATCTATAGTAAACACTAATTCCATATGAAAGTAAGACAAAATTATCTTGAAATTTAAAATTCCAAACAACATCAATGTACATTATTACATATAATGAAAATTATAAAGCAACCAAATAATTAAAACAAATAATGAAAGATTGTATGACCTCAATATAAAATACAAGTAGAATATATGTTAAATATAACAAAATACACTTTATTGTAGTATATTATGAAATCTCCATATCCTGCAATACAATACAATCAATTGAAATGTGTAAGATACAATAGGATTTAATTTAGGATGTTTATAATGAAAACATGAGGCAGGTGAATAAATGAGTACACTCATTTACCATTTAATATATCGTTACTTAATTTTTTTGTAAAAATATTAAAAGTAAACACCTTGCATGGTAATTTTACTATAATTATATCAAACTTTAAAATGTGTAATCATTTTTCCACAGCAAGTGCTATTAATGTTTTTTGGATATTAGTACTTCACGGGTTCAGGCTAGAAGAGTGAGAGCCTACAACCTATTCTGAAATAAAAGAGGAGCAATTTCTTGGTAAGGCGGTTCATGCCTGTAATCCCAGCACTTTAGGAGGTCAAGGCTGGCGTATCACTTGAGTTCGAGACCAACCTGGCCAACGTGACAAAACTCTGTCTGTACTAATAATACAAAAAAAAAAAAAAAACAAAAATAGCCAGGCATGGTGGTATATGCCTGTAGTCCCAGCTACTTGAGAGGCTGAGGCATGAGAATTGTTTGAACCCAGGAAGCGGAGGTTGCAGTGAGCTAAGATTGTGTCACTGCATTCCAGCCTGGGTAACATTTCTTTTCTACAATCTAAAATATGCAAACTCATATGATCACATTCTAATATTTTCCTGATTACATAGAAATGCATGACTGTCACCAGACCTCCATATCTAACATGAAATATAAAATTTGTCTATAGCATCGGCCTTTTACAAAAAAGCTTACCATTCTGATTATATTGTTCAAATTTATTTCCTATGATTTCTTCATGTTCTGTCATTTATTAACACAGTGCATCTAATATTGTCACTGCTGGTCATCTAGAAAAATCTGAGCAGTAGCAGGTCCTTGTTCTCATTCCCAGAGCTGCATCCTCTGCTGAATAGGGCCAGGGTCCTCTCAGCTCAAGCCTCATCTGATCCACTGACATGCTCAGTTACATCATGCCCAAAAAAGGGTGAGCTTCTCTATTCAGGCCTCTATCCCCAGGACCAGACAGTGTGGCTGAGACAAGCCAACCCTCAGCAGGTAAGACTTAAGCTCCCTGGGTGGCAATGGCATAGAAGGTCTGCACCTGGGCACACAGAGGCCCCCAGATCCAAGTCAGCAATGTGAGCTGCTCTCAGGTCAGTGGAAAATGGACCTGCTGTGCCCACACCTGGGCTAGGTCTTGATAAGTAGCCTCCAGCATAGCTCCAACAGAGGTCACCAAGCTTTTTCCAAGTGCCGGTCATTGGAATCCTAGGGCCCCAGACCTGTGCCACTGGCTGTGCCCAGTGCAAGCCCTCGAATGTCCCTTATGGTGGGCATCACAGATCTCCTGGATTTCACTGTAGTGCACAGCAGTGGAGGACTTTGATTTTTTTTTTTTTTTTAACATCAAGCTGCGTTCCTCTTCTGGACAGTTCCCTGCAGAGAATGCATGTGAGAGACTCGTCAGAGCAGTCCCCACAGACCCTCATTTCCAGAACCTCTTGTGCACCCAGGTGAACCCCACTTGTCTCTCCCACTCCTTCCTGACCATCTCAGCACTGGAATGAAGTGAGGCTGAACCCCTTGTGAGTCCCCAAATATTCTCAGAGCTAAGATCTCAAAAATTTACTTGTCACTAAGAAACTCCCTTCCTGCTGAAGACATGTATAAAAGTTTCCTGATTATTTGCCCTTTGGGGCCACAAAAAAAAAACAAACAAACAACAAAAACACCACCATTACCAAGAAAAAACACCAAGATTATACCTGCTCTGTCTTGGCAGCTGTCCTTGGAACTGATTTTTCTTTTCGTGAAGTTTCCCCAATATGAGCTGGACTCTGGTTCTTTGAATCCAATGAGAGTTTGAAATAGTGCCTCCAACTGAATACCCTGAAATTCCTAGTCCATCCTGGACACGCAGGAGCTCAGGTTGCCACCAAACCCCAGCTCTCTTCTGTTCTGCAGTGTCCAGGATCTGTATGGCCCTGGCTGCCAAGGAGCTCCCAGTTTCCTTGCCAGGAAAGCCTGTGTTGTTGCCCTGTCCCTTCTCACCTTCAAAGAGTCAAATCTTACCTAATCTAGCAGTGCTGTTTCTGGCTTTGGGCTTGGTCTCCTGGGACTTCTCCTCCTCTTTTGGATTTTTGGATTTGGCTCTAATCCTACTGCAAAAGAAAGCTTAGGTGACTCACCTCTCCCTAGGCAGGGTCCCATATTCTATCTCTGATGCATTTTTGCGGATCTGTCTTTCAAGTGAAGCTCTTTTGCCAGCGTCATGAGTGAACACGTTTCTCAAAGTCCCCTGAGGGCGCTAAGCCATTTCCCATCCCCAATCTCAAAACAAAACCCTACCAAAGACACATAGCTCAGTATCCCTGATTCCAACCCTCCTTCCAGCCTCCATAGGAGCAGCCCAAGGCCTTACCTTGCCTTTGTATGTGCTTCTCACTGGAATGGGAAGAGGCGGTCTTGCCTTTTCCTTTGAACGGTTTCTTCTCATCTGAGCCCTTTCCTGTAAAGGAGATCTGTTGGAAAGGGGGCTGGTCAGTGGAACATTGGATGGAGGAGCAGTGGAGATAGGGGTCTTCGTTTCCCTTTCCCATGTTGAAGCTCAAGTGAAAGGTGCGCTGTCTTATCCCTCTGCTACTTAAATTGTAGAGACCCTTCTCTACTATCTTACACGTCCAAATGCAGAGTGTGGGTTTATCGGCTGGACCTGCCTTTTATAGGTCCCTTGGCTGGGCGTGGCTTACTCTTATTGGCTGAACAGGTTTCTCTTTCCTGCCACTCATTAGAGCCCCAATAAGAAAAGTTTCTTGCTGTAGTTCTACTGGGGACCTAGACACAGTTAAGGGGAGACATTTTCAGGATCCTGTCATAGTGACAAGAAACAAAGAACTGGGAGCACAGGGATCAGAAGATTGGGGAATTATTTCTTCCGATTTCTGTCCCAGTTCCTACCTGGAAGGATTTATGATCCTGTTCACCTTTCAAGATGCAGAATTAAACATACCTATATTGATATATGTTACATATTTTGCACAGAAGATAATTTATTATAGGGTTAAAATTATATACATAGATATTATAATTTCTCAAATGCTTGGAAACAACAAATATCAAGATATGGTTGACTGTATTAGATCCATACATATATGATGAAATAAAACTGCAGAGAAAAAGTAAATACCAAATAAAATGGCCCTTCCTACCTAAAAAATGGGGAAGATAATTAGATCAAATGCACCAAAATCGAATTGATTAGATAAGAGCCAGATGTAACCTAATCAGCCCCTATTTCCTGAGGTAGCAAAAAGTGTAGGTGGAAAAACTTTCCCCCTTTCTCACCCTGCCTCAGTCATCCTGGGAGCGCCACTGTGTTCTGTGGAATTTACCCAGCCTCCCTAGTAAAGATGGACTTGGTCCCAAACAGGTAACCCAACTGATCACAAGAAAAACAGCCTAAATGCTGAGCATCAGCTCCTGTCTTCACACTGCGGACACCACCTGAATCCCATCAAAGCCCACGTTGTTTCCCAACATCCACCAGCAAGACGTATTCCAGGGCAGCCTCTCAAAACTGCCTCAGTGAGACGGGGCAAGGTGTGGTGGAGCTCCAGGTTCAGAATAGCTGCCTCATCCCTTCCTACTGCGGCAGAGTCTGCCTCTGCAGGTGGGAGCCCTCCAACTGTAGAAGGGTTAGTGCATGTCCCAGCAAGTGTCCCCTAAAAGGACCTTCTCGTCTCCCCCTCTGCTGAAGAAAGCATGCAGGAATGAGACCTTCTACGTTAGGGAGTACTCAGCCTCCAGTCCCAAATGACTTGATTGACTGATGAACTGATTCCCTGAGGAGGAGAAAGACGCGGGGAAGATACTGTGTCGGGTGAATCTGTTTTCCCAGCTGTGCTGTCTGTGCAAATAGTGGAACCAAAAAAAAAAATTAGTGGTCGACAGACACTGCCTAATGAAATTGTCTGAATTTAAGTGGAACTTATCATAAAATCATCATATACGCATCATCAATCCATGCGTCTCCAATATCATGTAAAATTTGACATATAAATAAATTTTGATATACTATATCATAATATTGTATAAAACTTTATCAGGTAATTTTATAAGAAAGTTAAATTGTGTAGTAACATTAACATCTAAACTTAATAGAAAGCTAGAAAAATTATCTGCTCTTGTTTCAATGACTGCTTTTTGGATAACTCTGTAAAGGGTCTGAAGACGGGTCTGCTACTTACTTGATAAGACTTCGACTTCTAAATCCTTGCTGTTTTTAACCAGTGCCCTACCAAGATATGAGAATATTTTACTCTAAGAAAGCATGTTCATAGATACCATAATAGGAATTTTGTTCATTTTAGTTAAATTATTATAACATATTGGTTATTAATAGTTTATGTACTACTACTCTCCCCTAAATTTTATTTTGAAATCTCTAGTGTAACAGTCTTCCTTCCTTCCTTCCCTCCCTCCGTCCCTCCCTCCCTCCCCAGTTTAGCCAGAAAGTGTTTAGGTTACACATAAACCATCACTGTAACAATCTTCCTTCCTTCCTTCCTTCCTTCCTTCCTTCCTTCCTTCCTTCCTTCCTTCCTTCCTTCCTTCCTTCCTTCCTTCCGTCCCTCCCTCCCTCCCTCCCTACCCCCGCCCCCACAGTTTGGCCAGGAAGTGTTTAGGTTACACATAAACCATCATTGTAACAGCCAGCCAGCCTGGCTGCCCGCCCTCCCTCCCTCCTTCCCCAGTTTGGCCAGAAAGTGTTAGGTTACACATAAACCATCATTTTAACAGCTTGCCTTCCTTCCTTCCTTCCCTCCCTCCCCAGTTTGGCCAGAAAGTGTTTAGGTTACACATAAACCATCACTGACTAGAGACTGTTATTTGAATTTAGGTGATGCCCTATGTCTATTCACAGTGTGTGTAGATATTTAAAATTACACTCAGCTTGGGAGAAAAGAACATTGAGTAGTGGGAAAAAGTCTCACCCACAGCTGTTATACAAATGTACAGACAAATGTCTGGAGAAGATAGCATGTTTTCAAATATTTTCGTCTCTTTGTCAGTCTCTGCCAAATAGACCCTCAGGGGCTCTCTCTGTCTCTTGGATGAACACTCTCCTGAGGGCTTGGAGACATCCACAGTATGAGTTAACCACCCACTGCAGATTTAATAAATGTTCAAATAAATGAGATTGAATGAAAAATAAAACACCTCAATCTGACTGTTCTTTTATGCTTTTCTCCCAGATGTGCACTGATCCATTACTTACAACAAACTTGGACTATAAATTCTTGCATTTGTATATGCTGGGAGTTCTGTGAGTCAGACTTCACCTGAATAATTCTAAGAGTATCTTGGGGGTAAAAGAGATGAAAAATTACATGTTCTTCTGGAGACTAGTATTGTATCAGTTATTATTACTGGACTTCATTCTCCCTCTACCAGTTTGTCCCCGTGACCATTTTTATTACACAATGGTTATTATTATTATTTAACTTTCTGAGTACTAAGTGTGTGCTATGGCGTAGTACGTGACGCAAATAAGACATCCTTCTTTCTCGGGGTTTCCAATGTAAGTCATCAAGTTCAATATTTAGTCATTAGTGTTCTTTTATGTATACACATACAAGTACACACACTACACAAATACATATAAGTATAAATATAGATGTATCTATACCAATAAGTTAAATAATTGCCAACTCATGCACTACTTCTCTGCCTAAAAAGGACAATTTTTTAAAAAGCATATGACAAGTCTTTATTTAATAGCAATTTTAAATCACAGAAACTATTTTTATATTTCTATTTTTTATACAGAATTCAAAGTAATTAAAGAATTTCATGATTTTTCTCTACAGATGGCCTTTGGTGCTACTACCACATATTACCAAAGTGTCTCATCTACCGGACGGTCTCCTCTGATCGTTTAAAACTAGAAAACTGGACAACGCAAAGGCTTTAGCAGATAACTGAAGTGGACTGGTAAACTAATACACGTGAACTTCATAGAATTTGGATCTAGATTGAATCTCTATCAAGACTGTTAGAGGAGGGATATTTGTATAATTGGTTAATAGACCAAGAAAAGACACCATTTGGTAGAGCTTTTACACATTAATTGGCTAGTACAGGGGCTCATGTGAGGTGTGTGTGCCCAAAGGCATGTTTTATTTTCCTGGTAATTAGTAGGGTCAAATGGACTTTATTAAAACTAGTCTAAATGTCAGGCAAGCAAAGAGAAGTAGTGGGTCTTGTGATTATAAGAGCAGATAGAGACAGAAAGTTGAGTCACCAGACTGGCAATCACAGAGCCAGACACTTGGTTTTATCTGACGATAGTTTCCTGAACTCAGACCCAGTCCTGCCTGAGGCCCGAACTAAGACCCAGTTCTGTGAATGCAGAGACACTGTGCTCGGCTGCCCTAATTCCACCATAAGTTTGTGTCATATGCCCTCAATACTTACGGTAATTTAAAAAATGTCTACTGTTCACAGCATAAGAATCCAAAAGAAGGAAAACTGAGGGGTAGAGAAGGAAGGAGAAAAAATAAAAGGAAGAGGGAGAAAGATGGAGGCAGGGAGAGGGAGACAGTGGCTGTAAGCAGGTAAGATGGGATATTAGAGTATCTGGAGGATCCGTCAAAGGGAATGACAATGTAAGATTAAAACATGGAGATACAGATTTATTTTAATTACACCAGTAATTTTGAACACACTCGTTATAAAACTTTGAAATGAATAAAAATAGTCTTCAAGATATTTTAAATAAACTTTATTTTTTAGAGCAGTTTTAGGTTCACAGTAAAATTGAACACAAAATCCAGAGAGTTTCCACAAATCCCCATCCACGTCCATGCATCTCCCCTCCCACGGTCCACATCGCGTAGCAGAATCTAAATTTGCACGCGTCTCCCCTCCGACTGTCCACATCCTGTAGCAGAATCTAAATTTGCACGCGTCTCCCCTCCCACTGTCCACATCCTGCAGCGGAATCTAAATTTGCACGCGTCTCCTCTCCCACGGTCCACATCCTGCAGCGGAATCTAAATTTGCACGCGTCTCCCCTCCCACTGTCCACATCCTGCAGCGGAATCTAAATTTGCATGCGTCTCCTCTCCCACGGTCCACATCCTGCAGCGCAATCTAAATTTGCACGCGTCTCCCCTCCCACTGTCCACATCCTGCAGCGGAATCTAAATTTGCACGCGTCTCCCCTCCCACGGTCCACATCCTGTAGCAGAATCTAAATTTGCACGCGTCTCCCCTCCCACTGTCCACATCCTGTAGCAGAATCTAAATTTGCACGCGTCTCCCCTCCCACTGTCCACATCCTGCAGCGGAATCTAAATTTGCACGCGTCTCTCCTCCCACTGTCCACATCGCATAGCAGAATCTAAATTTGCACGCGTCTCCCCTCCCACTGTCCACATCCTGTAGCAGAATCTAAATTTGCACGCGTCTCTCCTCCCACTGTCCACATCGCGTAGCAGAATCTAAATTTGCACGCGTCTCCCCTCCCACTGTCCACATCGCGTAGCAGAATCTAAATTTGCACGCGTCTCCCCTCCCACTGTCCACATCCTGCAGCGGAATCTAAATTTGCACGCGTCTCTCCTCCCACTGTCCACATCGCATAGCAGAATCTAAATTTGCACGCGTCTCCCCTCCCACTGTCCACATCCTGTAGCAGAATCTAAATTTGCACGCGTCTCTCCTCCCACTGTCCACATCGCGTAGCAGAATCTAAATTTGCACGCGTCTCCCCTCCCACTGTCCACATCGCGTAGCAGAACCGAAATTTGCAAGCGTCTACCCTCCCACTGTCCACATCCCGTAGCAGAATCTAAATTTGCACGCGTCTCCCCTCCCACTGTCCACATCCTGTAGCAGAATCTAAATTTGCACGCGTCTCTCCTCCCACTGTCCACATCGCATAGCAGAATCTAAATTTGCAAGCGTCTCCCCTCCCACTGTCCACATCCTGTAGCAGAATCTAAATTTGCATGCGTCTCCCCTCCCACTGTCCACATCCTGCAGCGGAATCTAAATTTGCATGCGTCTCCTCTCCCACGGTCCACATCCTGCAGCGAATCTAAATTTGCACGCGTCTGCCCTCCCACTGTCCACATCCTGCAGCGGAATCTAAATTTGCACGCGTCTCCCCTCCCACTGTCCACATCCTGTAGCAGAATCTAAATTTGCACGCGTCTCTCCTCCCACTGTCCACATCGCATAGCAGAATCTAAATTTGCACGCGTCTCCCCTCCCACTGTCCACATCCTGTAGCAGAATCTAAATTTGCACGCGTCTCTCCTCCCACTGTCCACATCGCGTAGCAGAATCTAAATTTGCACGCGTCTCCCCTCCCACTGTCCACATCGCGTAGCAGAACCGAAATTTGCAAGCGTCTACCCTCCCACTGTCCACATCCCGTAGCAGAATCTAAATTTGCACGCGTCTCCCCTCCCACTGTCCACATCCTGTAGCAGAATCTAAATTTGCACGCGTCTCTCCTCCCACTGTCCACATCGCATAGCAGAATCTAAATTTGCAAGCGTCTCCCCTCCCACTGTCCACATCCTGTAGCAGAATCTAAATTTGCATGCGTCTCCCCTCCCACTGTCCACATCCTGCAGCGGAATCTAAATTTGCATGCGTCTCCTCTCCCACGGTCCACATCCTGCAGCGCAATCTAAATTTGCACGCGTCTCCCCTCCCACTGTCCACATCCTGCAGCGGAATCTAAATTTGCACGCGTCTCCCCTCCCACTGTCCACATCCTGTAGCAGAATCTAAATTTGCACGCGTCTCTCCTCCCACTGTCCACATCGCATAGCAGAATCTAAATTTGCACGCGTCTCCCCTCCCACTGTCCACATCCTGTAGCAGAATCTAAATTTGCATGCGTCTCTCCTCCCACTGTCCACATCGCGTAGCAGAATCTAAATTTGCACGCGTCTCCCCTCCCACTGTCCACATCGCGTAGCAGAACCTAAATTTGCACGCGTCTCCCCTCCCACTGTCCACATCGCGTAGCAGAACCTAAATTTGCACGCGTCTCCCCTCCCACTGTCCACATCCCGTAGCAGAATCTAAATTTGCACGCGTCTCCCCTCCCACTGTCCACATCGCGTAGCAGAACCTAAATTTGCATGCGTCTCCTCTCCCACTGTCCACATCGCGTAGCAGAATCTAAATTTGCACGCGTCTACCCTCCCACTGTCCACATCCCGTAGCAGAATCTAAATTTGCACGCGTCTCCCCTCCCACTGTCCACATCCTGTAGCAGAATCTAAATTTGCACGCGTCTCTCCTCCCACTGTCCACATCGCATAGCAGAATCTAAATTTGCACGCGTCTCCCCTCCCACTGTCCACATCCTGTAGCAAAATCTAAATTTGCATGCGTCTCCTCTCCCACTGTCCACATCCTGTAGCAGAATCTAAATTTGCACGCGTCTCTCCTCCCACTGTCCACATCCTGTAGCAGAATCTAAATTTGCACAGGTCTCCCCTCCCACTGTCCACATCCTGCAGCAGAATCTAAATTTGCATGCGTCTCCTCTCCCACTGTCCACATCCTGTAGCAGAATCTAAATTTGCACAGGTCTCCCCTCCCACTGTCCACATCCTGTAGCAGAATCTAAATTTGCATGCGTCTCCTCTCCCACTGTCCACATCCTGTAGCAGAATCTAAATTTGCACGCGTCTCTCCTCCCACTGTCCACATCCTGTAGCAGAATCTAAATTTGCACGCGTCTCCCCTCCCACTGTCCACATCCTGTAGCAGAATCTAAATTTGCACGCGTCTCTCCTCCCACTGTCCACATCGCATAGCAGAATCTAAATTTGCACGCGTCTCCCCTCCCACTGTCCACATCCTGTAGCAGAATCTAAATTTGCATGCGTCTCTCCTCCCACTGTCCACATCGCGTAGCAGAATCTAAATTTGCACGCGTCTCCCCTCCCACTGTCCACATCGCGTAGCAGAACCGAAATTTGCAAGCGTCTACCCTCCCACTGTCCACATCCCGTAGCAGAATCTAAATTTGCACGCGTCTCCCCTCCCACTGTCCACATCCTGTAGCAGAATCTAAATTTGCACGCGTCTCCCCTCCCACTGTCCACATCCTGTAGCAGAACCTAAATTTGCAGGCGTCTCCCCTCCCACTGTCCACATCCTGTAGCAGAATCTAAATTTGCACGCGTCTCCCCTCCCACTGTCCACATCCTGTAGCAGAATCTAAATTTGCACGCGTCTCCCCTCCCACTGTCCACATCCTGTAGCAGAATCTAAATTTGCACGCGTCTCCCCTCCCACTGTCCACATCGCGTAGCAGAATCTAAATTTGCACGCGTCTCCCCTCCCACTGTCCACATCCTGTAGCAGAATCTAAATTTGCACGCGTCTCCCCTCCCACTGTCCACATCCTGCAGCTAAATCTAAATTTGCACGCGTCTCCCCTCCCACTGTCCACATCCTGCAGCGGAATCTAAATTTGCATGCGTCTCCCCTCCCACTGTCCACATCCTGCAGCGGAATCTAAATTTGCACGCGTCTCCCCTCCCACTGTCCACATCCTGCAGCGGAATCTAAATTTGCATGCGTCTCCCCTCCCACTGTCCACATCCTGTAGCAGAATCTAAATTTGCACGCGTCTCCCCTCCCACTGTCCACATCCTGCAGCGGAATCTAAATTTGCACGCGTCTCCCCTCCCACTGTCCACATCCTGCAGCGGAATCTAAATTTGCATGCGTCTCCCCTCCCACTGTCCACATCCTGCAGCGGAATCTAAATTTGCACGCGTCTCCCCTCCCACTGTCCACATCCTGCAGCGGAATCTAAATTTGCATGCGTCTCCCCTCCCACTGTCCACATCGCGTAGCAGAACCTAAATTTGCAAGCGTCTACCCTCCCACTGTCCACATCCCGTAGCAGAATCTAAATTTGCACGCGTCTCCCCTCCCACTGTCCACATCCTGTAGCAGAATCTAAATTTGCACGCGTCTCCCCTCCCACTGTCCACATCCTGTAGCAGAACCTAAATTTGCAGGCGTCTCCCCTCCCACTGTCCACATCCTGTAGCAGAATCTAAATTTGCACGCGTCTCCCCTCCCACTGTCCACATCCTGTAGCAGAATCTAAATTTGCATGCGTCTCCCCTCCCACTGTCCACATCCTGTAGCAGAATCTAAATTTGCACGCGTCTCCCCTCCCACTGTCCACATCGCGTAGCAGAATCTAAATTTGCACGCGTCTCCCCTCCCACTGTCCACATCCTGTAGCAGAATCTAAATTTGCACGCGTCTCCCCTCCCACTGTCCACATCCTGCAGCTAAATCTAAATTTGCACGCGTCTCCCCTCCCACTGTCCACATCCTGCAGCGGAATCTAAATTTGCATGCGTCTCCCCTCCCACTGTCCACATCCTGTAGCAGAATCTAAATTTGCACGCGTCTCCCCTCCCACTGTCCACATCCTGTAGCAGAATCTAAATTTGCACGCGTCTCCCCTCCCACTGTCCACATCCTGCAGCTAAATCTAAATTTGCACGCGTCTCCCCTCCCACTGTCCACATCCTGCAGCGGAATCTAAATTTGCACGCGTCTCCCCTCCCACTGTCCACATCCTGCAGCTAAATCTAAATTTGCACGCGTCTCCCCTCCCACTGTCCACATCCTGCAGCGGAATCTAAATTTGCATGCGTCTCCCCTCCCACTGTCCACATCCTGTAGCAGAATCTAAATTTGCATGCGTCTCCCCTCCCACTGTCCACATCCTGCAGCGGAATCTAAATTTGCACGCGTCTCCCCTCCCACTGTCCACATCCTGCAGGGGAATCTAAATTTGCACGCGTCTCTCCTCCCACTGTCCACATCCTGTAGCAGAATCTAAATTTGCACGCGTCTCTCCTCCCACTGTCCACATCGCATAGCAGAATCTAAATTTGCACGCGTCTCCCCTCCCACTGTCCACATCCTGTAGCAGAATCTAAATTTGCATGCGTCTCCTCTCCCACTGTCCACATCCTGTAGCAGAATCTAAATTTGCACGCGTCTCTCCTCCCACTGTCCACATCGCATAGCAGAATCTAAATTTGCACGCGTCTCCCCTCCCACTGTCCACAACCTGTAGCAGAATCTAAATTTGCACGCGTCTCTCCTCCCACTGTCCACATCGCATAGCAGAATCTAAATTTGCACGCGTCTCCCCTCCCACTGTCCACATCCTGTAGCAGAATCTAAATTTGCACGCGTCTCCCCTCCCACTGTCCACATCGCGTAGCAGAACCTAAATTTGCACGCGTCTCCCCTCCCACTGTCCACATCGCGTAGCAGAACCTAAATTTGCACGCGTCTCCCCTCCCACTGTCCACATCCCGTAGCAGAATCTAAATTTGCACGCGTCTCCCCTCCCACTGTCCACATCCTGTAGCAGAATCTAAATTTGCACGCGTCTCCCCTCCCACTGTCCACATCCTGTAGCAGAACCTAAATTTGCAGGCGTCTCCCCTCCCACTGTCCACATCCTGTAGCAGAATCTAAATTTGCACGCGTCTCCCCTCCCACTGTCCACATCCTGTAGCAGAATCTAAATTTGCATGCGTCTCCCCTCCCACTGTCCACATCCTGTAGCAGAATCTAAATTTGCACGCGTCTCCCCTCCCACTGTCCACATCGCGTAGCAGAATCTAAATTTGCACGCGTCTCCCCTCCCACTGTCCACATCCTGTAGCAGAATCTAAATTTGCACGCGTCTCCCCTCCCACTGTCCACATCCTGCAGCTAAATCTAAATTTGCACGCGTCTCCCCTCCCACTGTCCACATCCTGCAGCGGAATCTAAATTTGCACGCGTCTCCCCTCCCACTGTCCACATCCTGTAGCAGAATCTAAATTTGCATGCGTCTCCCCTCCCACTGTCCACATCCTGCAGCGGAATCTAAATTTGCACGCGTCTCCCCTCCCACTGTCCACATCCTGCAGGGGAATCTAAATTTGCACGCGTCTCCCCTCCCACTGTCCACATCCTGCAGCGGAATCTAAATTTGCATGCGTCTCCCCTCCCACTGTCACATCTGTAGCAGAATCTAAATTTGCATGCGTCTCTCTCCCCACTGTCCACATCCTGTAGCAGAATCTAAATTTGCACGCGTCTCTCCTCCCACTGTCCACATCGCATAGCAGAATCTAAATTTGCACGCGTCTCCCCTCCCACTGTCCACAACCTGTAGCAGAATCTAAATTTGCACGCGTCTCTCCTCCCACTGTCCACATCGCATAGCAGAATCTAAATTTGCACGCGTCTCCCCTCCCACTGTCCACATCCTGTAGCAGAATCTAAATTTGCATGCGTCTCTCCTCCCACTGTCCACATCGCGTAGCAGAATCTAAATTTGCACGCGTCTCCCCTCCCACTGTCCACATCGCGTAGCAGAACCTAAATTTGCACGCGTCTCCCCTCCCACTGTCCACATCGCGTAGCAGAACCTAAATTTGCAAGCGTCTACCCTCCCACTGTCCACATCCCGTAGCAGAATCTAAATTTGCACGCGTCTCCCCTCCCACTGTCCACATCCTGTAGCAGAATCTAAATTTGCACGCGTCTCCCCTCCCACTGTCCACATCTTGTAGCAGAACCTAAATTTGCAGGCGTCTCCCCTCCCACTGTCCACATCCTGTAGCAGAATCTAAATTTGCATGCGTCTCCCCTCCCACTGTCCACATCCTGTAGCAGAATCTAAATTTGCATGCGTCTCCCCTCCCACTGTCCACATCCTGTAGCAGAATCTAAATTTGCACGCGTCTCCCCTCCCACTGTCCACATCGCATAGCAGAATCTAAATTTGCACGCGTCTCCCCTCCCACTGTCCACATCCTGCAGCGGAATCTAAATTTGCACGCGTCTCCCCTCCCACTGTCCACATCCTGCAGGGGAATCTAAATTTGTTCCAATCAGTGAAACTACAATGACTAGTCTTGTCTTGTTGGGGATTTTTCATACACACTCATGTGAAACATTGGTATGCAGTTTTCTTTTACTGTAATATCATTGTGCTGTTTTAATATTAGCCTCATTGAATGAGTTAGGAAATATTCCCTCTGATTCTGTCTTCTGAAAAAGATTGTAAGGAGTTGTTATAATATTTTTCATAAATGTTTGGTAGATTCTACCAGTGGACCCATCTGGGACTGGTACTTTATATTTAGGAAGTTATTAATTATTGATAGTATTTCTTTAATACATAAGAGTTATTCTAACTAGTTTTTCTTGTGTCAGAATCTAGCAAATTTAGATTCTGCTACACGATGTGGACAGTGGGAGGGGAGACACATGCAAATACGTGTGTTTTCAAACTCAATGGCTGTCATCATTGAGACACTGAATTTTCACCATATTGTTTAATTTGCTACTACTTAAAGTTATTATCTCTTCTGCAAATTCATTTTTTAAAAAGATTGACGATCTAGAAACAAAGCAGAATTTTACTTTATGTGGAATTAATAATCAGTTTTGGCTAGATTAATTAAATGCAGTATCTGTAAGACTTTCATTAAAATTAAAATTAAATCATTAAAATTAAAAAATGTTGGGCCGGGAGCGGTGGCTCATGCCTGTAAATCCCAGCACTTTGGGAGGCCAACGCGGGCGGATCACGAGGTCAGCAGATCGAGACCATCCCGGCTAACACGGTGAAACCCTGTCTCTACTGAAAATGCAAAAAAAATTAGCGGGGCGTGGTGGCGGGCACCTGTAGTCCCAGCTACTCGGGAGGCTGAGGCAGGAGAATGGCGTGAACCCGGGAGGCAGAGCTTGCAGTGAGCCGAGATCGGGCCGCTGCACTCCAGCCTGGGCGACAGAGCGCGACTCCATCTCAAAAATAAATAAATAGATAAATAGATAAATAAATAAATAAATAAAAATAAAAATGAAAAATGATGAAGTCAGGCAGACTTATAAAGCTATCCTATAATTTATGTGTCCTTTTGTCTATTATTTCAAATATGTATTTAAGTATTATAGCCTTTTTCCTACAAACATTATATATATATATCTAATATGTAAAACAAATAAAAAATGGAGTTTTTCTGATGAACACAGAAGAGGCAACTTGAAAGACACTTCCCCAGTTTCCTTCTCATATAACTTGACTGATCCTGCAAAACCTCTACAGAATGTCATTGTTCCTTAGAACAGTACAAAACCCACCATCCTATTGTTGTTTCTGAACTGTACCCATTTCTTTATATGCCTCTTTCTGAACCATTTTCTTATCAAGACTGATGGTTCTTTGTTACTGAATGAAAAGAATACCCACGCTTTAGCCTATGTAGAGTTGTGTTAAAAGAAAAATCTTAAATTTAACAGAATTTAATCAAGCAAAGAACGATTCACAAATTGGGCAGCCGCTGAACCAAAATACGTTCAGAGATGATCCAGTGCTGTCTCTTGGTCAAAGAAGATTCATGGATAGAAAAAGGAAAGTGACATAGAGAAAACGGAAGTGAAGTACCAAAACAGACAATTTGGCTTTTGCCTTACTTTAACAGTTGTAACAGTTGGCCATCTTTGATTGGCTGAAACTCGGTGATTGGCACAACAGTAGATTACAGTCTGTTTACACATTCAGTTAGATATAGTTCACTATGTACAAAGAAATCATTAAGCCGAATTTAAAATATGTAAGGAGGCAGCGTTAGGTTAAACTTAACAGTTGTATTAAGTTAGCCATCAAATCAGAATTAGCATTTTCTTCCTTTTACTTAAATTCTTCTTCACTGTTTTATTATCATTGTCTTTTGGTCTTTTCATCTACTTGTGCAAAACTCTGCGTTGATGCTTTAGTGCTCTCAGTATCTTCCCATGTTCTTGACATCCTGATCCTGATACTTTTAAGTAATATAAAAGGTGCCTTCTTGGATGTCAGGTGTCCTGAAAGAGGACACTGTCATCTTGCTCAACCATCATTGAGAATGCTTCAGGAAATGGCCTTTTGGTGTCCTATCTTTACCTAGCACCCATTTCTCTTTCAGCAATTTAGTGTCCTGAAATAGCCAGATGCTGTTATTTACTCTATCCTTAAGCAGAAGAAATATCTTTATTTAAAAAAATTTTTTTTTATATATTAAAAAAACCTAAAATACAAAAAATGATTTTTCCAGATTTGCTTCAGTTTTCTTTTATAACAAAATGATAGAGATACAGATAGGACTTACACATTCCATTCTTTCCTCTTAGAGATCACCTTTTAACGATAGCCTCTTAAGATGGTTTGATACATTCCCATTCATGTTTTCATACATTCATACACATATGCATATTCCTCAAATATATATTATTGTTTTGTATGAGAAAAATGTTTGTAAATTGAATATATCCTGAAACATTGTTTATCTCAACATAATGCTTATGAAATTTTATCCATCTTGTTTCATTTATTTCTGTTTTATTCATTTTAATTCCTGAGTGAATTTTAAGTATTGACTATAGATAGATCATGACTTTGAGGGATGGCATGCAAATATCAGTATCTCCAAGCCTTTTCTCTTGAGTGGTTCAGGCAACTACAGTGCAATCTTCTGATCTCCTTCTGAGGGTACCACTGTCACTGTTCCTTGTAGGAACCTAGCAGTAACAGGTGATTAATAAAGTGTCTCCCATTAGTATGTAGAATTTCTACCCTTAACTTCCCTGATTTCTGTATGTTACTCAGCTGTGGTTGCTGTCTCAGAGAACTCTTCTTATAGGACATAAGATGTTTTCCAGGATAACAACCACCAGCTGTCTGATTTCAGAGAGGTAGAAGCCTGGCAATATTAGATTGAGGATGTGTATACAGGATTCCAGTTTCTTAAAACATTTTTTTTTCCTATTTGCATCACCTCCCATGGCACTACTTTATTTATTTATGTATTATTTATTTTAATTTTTAAAAAATTTATTTTTTTTAGACAAATTCTTGTTCTGTCACTGAGGCTGGAGTGCAGTGGTGCGATCTCTGCTCACTGCAACCTCCGCCTCCCGGGTTCCAGCGATCCCCCACTTCAGCTTCCCGAGTAGCTGGGACCACAGGCACGCACCACCACACCTGGCTAATAGCACTTCTTTATAGAGATTTTTGCCAGGATAAATATAATTTTTGAGATATCTGCATTGTAGGCAATCATCTTTTTTAATTTTTCATTCACAAATGTTATTTCCAAAATGTAGCCGTCTCTTACCTACTAATTTTTCTCCTGTTTTCTTTGTCTGTATGGGTTTGTATTTTTTAATTGTTGCTATTATGGCTATTGTTGTTATTGTTATATTATTCATTTTCTATTAGCTAAGTGAAGGTTTTGGGGCAGTATGAAATAAATATGTCAAAGTTACCATATTCTTCTGTTATTATTTTTAATGGAAGATAATAAATTTTAATTTTTTCTTCAATGATTTTGATCTGTTCAGTATTTTCTAATCACTTTACATAAATTTATAGGTTTGCTACTTAACATACTTTATTATTTTGTCCATTTTGGGTGGGGATTGGGAATGAGGAGATTGAAATACAAAGAAATTCAAAGCCTTGACTAGGGTCCTGTTGGCAATGGGATCAGGAGTTCGAACAAAACAATCTCCTCCAGAGCCCATGTGCTCAACCACTTACTTCCCTCCCTCCCTTGTTGCTACTGAGAGAATAACTCCTACTGAGAAAGTGTCTTATGACACTTTTAAGACTAACTTTTAAGAAAATTTCGGAAGAAATTCTTGAATTTAGTAAAATATTGTACAAGATAGACTTACAGCTACTTTTAAAGTTCTAAGTTGTAAGACTTTGTAAACACTTGCTTTTATGCACTACAGAGAAAGAGCCCATTCCAGTTCCTCCTCTCTGCTTTTCAAACTCTCTGTTTTTTGCTCACTTTTCTCCAAATTACTGTAAATCCTCTCCCTGGCAAGATGCAGTTTCTCACTCTACACTATCACACACACATTAGCCTGGTGGTTACTTCTTACCTTGCTATAATCCCAGTGAACTAGAATTTTGATCTGATGTGATATGAAAGAAATGAGGAAGAAAAGAAAAATTTTAAAAAGCACATCATTATTTTTGGATATACATCTGTCTGTTGCCAACTTAGAATTATGAAATATAATGAACATGTAAAGGTCTTGACTTGTATTTCTCAATTTATTCTTAAACGTCTTTATTCATCTTCTGTAATTGCAGTCCTTGATAACCTGAGCGGCAAAAATGAAGAGAATGCAAACAGAAGGGCTGAGAGAAAAAACCTCTTCTAACCACTGCTCCTTAATTTCCCAGGATCCACATTCTCATCCTTACCATTCCTTTAATCGTTTTCCTTTTATATACTTTATATGATAAATGGAGTCTTATGAACTCACTTGGAAATCTAATCACTATTTTTTAAGGAAATATATTTTTAGCTCAAAACTTCATTTTCAAACATAACCAGTTTGCATGTTGAGAACAGATTACAGCTAAACAGATTGTACACACGCACACATTCTGGATTTATTGTATTTACGTGGTGTAATCACCATCTTGTATCTAAGGTCCTGATATCTTGGAGGAAAATGAAATATGAATTTGGAGATAAGAGATTGTTGGTCTTGTATTTATATTACCTAAAACAACTCATGCAGAACTGGTAAGAAGTTGCTTATGTGCACACAGAAGGGAAATGTGGGGTCGGGGCCCCCACACAGTCCCCACTGTGGTACTGCCTAGTGGAGCTGTGGGAAGAAAGCCACCCTCCTCCAGACCCTGGAATGGTAGATCTACTGACAGCTTGCACTGTGTTCCTGGAAAAGCTGCAGAAACTCAACCCAGGGGGGGGTCTGTATCCTGCAAAGCCACAGGGACAGAGTTGCCCAAGGTCCTGGGAGCCCACCTCTTACATCAGAGTGACCTGGATGTGAGACATGGGGTCAAAGAAGATCACTTTGGAGCTTCAAGAACTGACTGCCCTGCTGGATTTCAGACTTGCATGAGGCCTGTGACCTCTTTGCTTTGGCCAATTTCTCCCATTTGGAATGGGTGTATTTATCTAATGCCTATACCCCCATTGTATCTGGGAAGTAAATAACTTGCTTTTAATTTTACAAGCTCATAGGCAGAAGAAATTTGCCTTGTCTCAGATTAGACTTTGGACTGTGGACTTTCAAGTCAATGCTGAAACGAGTTAAGACTTTAGGGGACTGTTGGAAGGGCATGACTGTGTTTCAAAATGTGAGGACATGAGATTTGGGAGGGGCCAGGGCAAAATGATGTCGTTGTCTGTGTCCCCACCCAAATCTCATCTTGAATTGTAGCTCCCATAATGCCCATGTATCATGGGAGGGACCTGGTGGGAGGTAACTGAATCATGGGGGTGGGTTTTTCCCATGCTGTTCTCATGACAGTGAGTAAGTCTCAGGAGAGCTGATGGTTTTATAATGGGCAGTTCCCCTGCACAAGCTCTCTTGCCTGCTTCTATGTAAGACATGACTTTGCTTCTCCTTTGCCTCGTGACATGATGGTGAGGTCTCCCCAGCCATGTGGAACCATGAGTCAATTAAAACTGTTTCCTTTATAAATTACCCAGTCTTGGTACGTACTTATTAACAGTGTGAGAATGGACTAATACAACAGACAACCTACAGAATGGGAGAAATATTCACAAACTATTCATCCAACAAAGGACTAATATCCACAATTTACAAGAAACTTAAGCAAACAAGCAAAAAACCAATAACCCCATTAAAAAATGGTCAAAGAACATGAACAGACACTATTGAAAAGAAGACAAACAACCATCAAACATATGAAAAGATGCTAATCATCACTAATCATCAGAGAAACGCAAATCAAAACCATAGTGAGATACAGTCTCATACCAGTCAGAATGGCTTTTGGTTAAATAGTCAAAAAATAACAGCTGCTGGTGGGGCTGCGGAGAAAAGGGAGTTCTTGTACACTGTTGGTGGGAATGTGAATTAGTTCAGTCACTGTAGAAAGCAGTTTGCAGATTTCTTAAAGAACTCAGAGCTGAACTACCAAGTTACCCAGCAACCCCATTACTGGATATACACCCAAAGGAAAATACATTGTTCCACCGAAAAGATACATACACTACACACACCCATACATTCATTGCAACACTAGTCACAATAGCAAAGACATGCAACCAAACCAAGTGCCCATCAGCAGTGGATTGGATAAAGAAAATGTGGTACATATGCAACATGTAATACTACACAGCCATAAAGAAGAACGAAACTGTTATTTGTAGCAACATGGATACAGCCAGAGGCCATTACCTTAAGTGAACTAAAGCAGAAACAGAAAACCAAATACCATGTGTTCTCACTGATAAGTGGGAACTAAACGTTGGGTACACATGGTTATAAAGATGGGGACAACTGACGCTGGGGATACCAGAGGAGAGACTGAGAAACTACTTATTTCTGGGTGGTGGGTTCAGTCATACTCCAAACCTGAGCATCACATCATATATCTTTGTAACAAACCTGCACATCTACCCCTGGAATATAAAATAAAAGTTGAAATTTAAAAAGAAAAGAATGAAAAACTAGAGGGGAACAGAGGTAACAAAAAATAATGAGTGCCCTTATAGGAAATGAAAATCTGATTTAAAAAACTGTATTAATTAAAAATCATGATAATAGAGTAAGCTTTTGTTAAACTTATTTTTTAAGTGTCATTTGGATCAGTGAATGAAGAATTATTAAATATTACTTTTAAAAATTCAATTATATATTTGAAATATATCATTATAATTTGAACTTACATTTAATATAAAAATAATTTCCAGATGGACACAACAGTTAACTGTAATCAAATAAAAATCAAATAACTCAAAGACAAATACCTGTTAAAATCTCATGGTGGAAAAATACTTAATAAATAAGAAAGTTTCAAGACATTTGCCCAGTAATGCCAATCTACATAAATTTTAAAAAAACAAATACTTCTGAGTGAAGATATTTATAAAATTTTAGAAGAATATAATTAAAATAATGTAAATGCCTAATAATGAAGAAATGGCTAAATATATAGTACATTAATATGGTAGAATTGCATCAAATGTTATGTAACCATTAAAATGTATTTTGAAAAATGTTGAGTGAACAAAAGTATCTTTCTCATAAAATTATAAATGAATTAATAAGAATTAAATCCAATTATTCTGTATGCTCTCCATTTTTTGCAAACAAAATAATACAAGTATGTTTGGAAAAATATTGATATAGCTATATAAATAACTACTTTTTTGTCTTTATTTTATTCTGCAGTAAACATTTATTATTAATATACTCCTAATATGAAGTAACAGTTATATTTTAAATTTAAAATAAACAATAAAACTTTACCAGTTTCAAATCCCCTTCATATCTGTGGGTTTCACATCCATCTATTTAGCCAACCACAGATAAAAAACATTTTTTAAAAATTGTGTTCATACTTAATATGTACAGACTTTATTCCCTTACTTAAACAATACATGATAACAAATATTTACATAACATTTTCCTTTTACTAGGTATTACAAATAGTCTAGGGATGATTTAAAGTGCACAGAAGTATGTGCATAGGTTATATGTAAATGTTACAGGGTTTCAGTGACTCTGGGAGCTTCTGGAACTGATTCCTACAGATACTGAGGGATGACTGTACTACAATCCTATCCACCTCTATCTAGTGCATTAGAATGATTCTCTCTGGTAACACCCTGAGTGCAATCTACCTTATAATCTTTTAATGTTAATGTTTTACTTCCATTAAATTATAAGCTCATTATACTACTAGATATGTCATCTGAAGTTATGTTAATTTAAACATTTCTTTACAAAGTCTCAACATTCTATAGTAAGATTGGACAAGTCTGGCAGGACTATTTTACTACACACCTAATATTTTACTCTGTATTACAGCAGACAGCAATTTGTACCCTTCCCTCAGTCTTAGAATCTCTGGACAAAAGTAACTTATGAGCTAAATCCCATGAGCTCTAGATCAGTCTCCAACTACTGATACTCATTGAGCACCTGGATACTGACATTTACTCTCAATCATGAAGAGTCATTAATGAAAAATAAATATAGAAATGTCTTCAAATGTTCAACAAAGTTGAAATACGTGTAAGATTTAACAGATAGTTCATATCCTTAATAGACTATTGCTTTGCTATAGGAGGAGCAATAATCCTAGAACACAAAGTATTTATGATATGAAATGTAATATATGTTGGGATATTAAAATCAAGACAGCAATATTAGTAGAGAAGATAGATCAAAATAAAAATCAATGACATAGCACATAGGTACTAAATATAAAAATATGCCTAATTTAGGTTATTTAAAAAATAATGTACTTTCAAATAAGAAAGAGTGAAGTATGATAACATGAAAATATACACTATGCTTAAGCAGTGCTCAAATCAAACATGTAAGAAGAGTCTTCAAATATTTGCTAATTCCAATATGAGAAGGCTTTCATGGAATCTAATTTGGAAAAGATTAAGAAAATTCATTATTTAAGTTTAAATAAAAAGAATATATATCTGAACCAAAATATCATAGAGCAAAGAAAGGGGGTCAGAAAAATAGAATAAACCTTACTTTAGATATTTAAGGGTTTTTTTATGAGTCACTTGAAAATTAGTATCTAGATTATTATTATTATTATTATCATTATTATTATGTAGCTTCAAAGTTTTCCCCACAAACTATTGGGTTGTCATTGTTTACTTAAGAGTCTTAGGCAAACATAAATTTTCAAAGATCCAGTTTCTTCTTCTATGATAATCTTCCTCAGCCTTGATACATTGAGATCTGGCCTGGACATTTCTTTGCTCCCAGACGTTGTCCCATTTTTTGTTTATCTGCGTCTCGGGTCTTTACCCACTAGATGCCACTGTCTCCTACCCCATCGTCGTGACAACCAAAAATGTCCAGGTTTACCTCGGGGGACAAAATCATCCCTGTGGAAAACTGCTAGCTGAATATATATATATATATATATATATATATATATATATATATATATATATTTTTTTTTTTTTTTTTTTTTTTTTTTTTTTGGGACAGAGTCTCGCTCTGTCTCCCAGGCTGGAGTGCGGTGGCGCGATCTCGGCTCACTGCAAGCTCCGCCTCCCGGGTTCACATCATTCTCCGGCCTCAGCCTCCCGAGTAGCTGGGACTACAGGCGCGTGCCAACATGCCCGGCTAATTTTTTGTATTTTTAGTAGAGACGGGGTTTCACCGTGTTAGCCAGGAAGTTGCTAATATTAATAGTACCTATACCATAGATTTATTGCAAAAAATAAACAAGGTTAAACTATTACGTGGGTCATGGGGTTGTTGTGAAAATTAATTGTAACAAAGTTCCTAACAAATAGTAAATGATCAAGAAACGTTCGTTATTATTATTTGACTTCAGCCCTTTTTTATGCCATAAAACAGTAATACCCAAGTTCTCTTCCACTTCTTAAATTATATGATTATTTCAGGTTATATCTAATATATCTAATCAGATTATATCTAATTCGTTATAAAATCAGTTGAAACTTTTTCAGCGAAGATCACTGAAGTAAAATAAATACAGATCGTAATTTTTAAATTGTCCTGTAGTCACAAATAGGAAAATGAAAATAGATGTATTTTATATGTAAGATAAAAGTACCTTATGGGAAAGGAAGAATATGCATATGTATTATTTACAATTTTTATAATATTTATTATAATTAAACGCTGCATGAAAGCTATTAATAGTACTTATTTTTACACAGAGTAAGAAACTTTGAGACACTTTTCCCTTTTGCGTTCTATTACTTTTTATTACATATACATATATAAACATAACTTAAAACTTTCTCATGGGGGCTTGCCAGAGCTTCTGTTTAACCTCAGTCATGAAGAGCTCTCTTAATTCTGCCAATTCACGAGAACAAAAGACTTGCTTGTGCTGAAAGCCATTACAAATTGGAGACATGGGTTGATGCAGTATTCCCAAGTGGGGTGTTTACATAGTGCCCAAAATCCAGAGAACCATAACCAACACTGCGATGCTTTTATATGTCAGCTGGTACAAAATGCAATAATTTACCATCTTGTCCTCTACATGGAAGGTATCCTGAATTACTGAGGGCAACCGCAAACCTAAAATATTTACCAGTGAAAGGCCAGTCTCAAGACTGTAGGTTTTATGTTTCAGATTATGGTTTATTGTTCACATTCCTGTACAAGAGTATCAGAAAATGACATTTCTTGCTCACTAGGGCTGATAAATCTGATATCATCAATATAGTGATCAATATTTTGGTCTTTGTAATTTTAAGACTATTAAGGTTACTTCAGGTCATATTATAACAAAACACAATCATAGCCCTGGGCAAGACAGCAAATATGTTCTGTGGTCTACCCTGGTGAATGAAAATACCTTTTATCTGTTTTCATGAAGGGGATAGAAAGTGATATTTGTCAGATCATAGATGCAAAACCAAGAGTAGAAGCTGGGTTGAGCTGTTAAAATACAGATACTACATAATATCAATACACAGCAGATGCATTTGGAATTATCAGTTGCTGACATTTACATGATTCCCCCATCATCCTCCAGATTCAAAATTTTGCATGGGTCATTCCAGTACATTAAATGGGGATGTGCTAGGGACTTCGACACCTGCACCCCTTTTATCTTTGAGAATGCTATTATTACTGCCATCTTATTCGTTGCTGATTTTCTGTTTTCATGAGAGAATGTGATGGTGAATTTTATGTTAACCATTTATGTTTTATTTTACCATTTCCTATTCCATTTTATGTTTTATTACTTTTATTTTTTTACTGGCTTATGGGGTACCCAGAAAACTGTGAGACTGATTTTGGAGGAACTTGGCATTTGAATCAGTAAACTGAGTAAAGATGACCTGCCCTTAGCAGTGTGGGCAAGCATCACGCAAGCTTTGAAGGCCAGAATACAACAAAACGGCAGAGGAAAGGCACATTTGCTTCCTCTTCTATAACAGCAATATCCATCTTCTCTTCCCCTGAGGAGCTCCAGTTTTTGAGCGTTTGGATGCCAGGACTTACACCATTGACTCTTCTGGTTCTTAGTCTTCAGACTCATTGAATTACATCACTGGCTTTCCTGGTTCTCCAGCTTGCAGATGGCATAGCATGGGACTTTTTGTCTTCCATAATTGTGTGAGCCAATTTCCACAATAAATTTTCTTTATTTATCTCTTTTTGTCTCTCTCTCTCTCTCTGTCTCTATCCTTCTGTCTCTCTGTGTGTTTGTGTGTGTGTGTGTGTGTGTGTGTGTGTGTGTGTGTGTGTGTCCTATTGATTCTGTTTCTATGAAAAGCGCTGCCTAATACCGGAACTTTTGCTTGGTCTTCCCTACCATAATTGATCTTATTCTACATTTCAACAAACCAATGCAATTTCTGTAAGTTGCTGTGTACATCCATTTCAATTATGTCCTCGATGACCAGGGCAATGAACACAGGGTAGTTTAACAAACCCATTAGACTAATGTGAGAGAAAGGCGGACCAGAAAGCCATTTATCAGCTGATCCCTGAAAATTCCAATTATAATAGGTATCTTAATGGCATTTTTGTGTACCCTGGTATCAGTGTCATCTAAGCCCTGGTATTTAAAAGTTCTTGAAAGATCTGGTGAAACTATCCCTAATTATAATAGTTTTAGAACATCTTTGGAGGTGGTTTTGGAAAGTAATTATTACATCATTTAGGCAAAGGTATGGATGTAAATGTGCCATGCAAATACTAACCCTACATGGTGTGCCCATATTAATATTAGATAAAGTGGTCTTCAAAACAGGAGTACTGCCAAAGATAAAGGTGTCAGGTCATAATCAAAAAAGGCCAGTTCATAAAATTAACAATCTTAAATGGATGAACCTAATGAAACTTCAAAATGTGAAACAGACATCAACAGAGTAAAGGTGATGATAATCAGATCTACTTTTCAAATGTCTGTGGAACATTAATCAAGATAGATCAAGTACTGGACCATCAAATAATTCTCACTAAATATAAAAGAAATTAAATCATAGACAGTTTGTGCTCTGAGCAAAACAGGACTAAATTAAAAATCAATAACAAAAATATGTTCAGAAAAACCTTAATATTTGGCAACTGAGCAAATAACTTTTAAATAACAATGGATATAGAAATAATTATCAGATCTGTATTTAAATTTTTTAATTGTGTTAAAATTTTAACAATTTTAAGTACATAATTCATAGCATTAAGTACATTCCCAGTGTTGTACAACCAGCATCTCCATTTCCATCACAAAAAGAAATAAAGTACCCTTAAACAGTAACTCACCATTACTTCCTCTCCCCAGTCTCTGGTAAACACTAATCTTCATTCTGTCTTCACAGATTTGCCTGTTCTAGATATTTCATATCAGCAGAATCATACAACATTTGTCATTTCATGTCTGGTTTACTTCACTCAGCATCATGTTTCCAAGTTTCACCCATGTTGCATGTATCAGAACTTCATCCCCTTTAATGGCTGAATAATATTCTATTATTTATGTATTATATTTTGTGTATCCATTCGTTGATGGACAAGGGTTGTCTCTGGCTATGGCGAATAATGCTGCAATTAACTTTGGTGTAAAAATATCTGTTCAAGACCCTGCTGTCAACTTTTTTGTGTATCATACCTAGGAGTGGAATTTCTGGTTCTCTGTGTGATTCTGTGAGGAAGTACCAAATTGTTTTTCACAGCAAGTGCATCATTTTCTATTCCTAGCAGCCAGTTCATGAGGGCTCCAATTTCTCCACCTCCTTAGCAACATTTATTTTCTGTGTCGTTGTTATGAAAGCCATACTAGTGGAAGCAAAGTGGCATCTCATTTTGGTTTGGTTTTCCATTTTATCAATGAATAATGGTGTTGAGCATCTTTTCTTGTTCTTATTAGACATTTGTTTATCTTCTTTGGAGAAACGTCTATTCAGGTCCTTTGCCTATTTTTTAATTGGGATGTTAGAAATTCTGTTGTTGAGTTTTGAGATATTAAGCTTTTATCAGATACACATTTTTCTTTTATCAGATACATATTTTCTCACATACTATGGGTTGTCTTTTCATTTCCTTGATAGTGTCCTTTGATGCATGAAAGTTTTTGATTAAATCTAACTTATGTATTTTTTCTTTTGTTATCTGTGCTTTTCTGTCATATTTCAAAAAACACTTAAGACTCAAAGGTCATGAAGGTTTCCTGTGTGTTTTCGTCCAAGAGTTACACATTTTAGTCCTTATATTTAAGTCTTCTGTTAATTTAGAGTTAATTTTTGTATATAGTGCAAGGCAAGGGTCTAACTTCTCTCCTGTGCACTGATACCCAGCTGTTGAACAGACTGTTCATTCCTCCATTGACTGGTCTTGGCCCCCTTGTTGAACAGTCGTCGACCATATATGTGAAGACTAATTTCTAGGATCTCAATTCTATTCTATTGGTCTAAATGTCAATTGGTCTTATGCCAGTAAAACACTCTCTTGATTACTGTAGATTTGTAGCACGTTGTGAATCTGGAAAATGTGAGTTTTCCAATGTTCTTTTTCAAGATCGTTTCATCTATGTCAGATCCTTTGAGTTTTTGTATGAATTTTAGAATGAGTTTCTCTGTTTCTGCAAAAAATGTCTTTGGGGTTTTGATGGTATTGCATTGAATCTATAGATTACTATAGATGGTATTGACATATTAACAATATTGTCTTACAATCCATGAACACAGAATATCTTTCCAGTTATTTCAACTCTCTTTAGTTTCTTTCAGCAAAGTTTTGTGTATACCACCATAGTTAGATTGATGCCTGAATATCTTATTTCTGGATGCTATTATAAATGGGATTTTAAAAATGTTTTGATAGTTCATTACAACTATATAGAAATAAAACTAATTTGCATATGTTTGTCTTGCATCCTGCCTATTTTATTAGTTCTAATGGGTTTTGTGTTTTCTTTGGAGATTCATAGATATATGATAATGTGTAGATATAATTTTACTTCTTTTTTTATTTCTAATTTAGATGCCTTTTATTTCTTTGTCTTGCCTAATTTCTCTGGCTAGAACTGC
This sequence comes from Homo sapiens, assembly GCF_000001405.40. Classification (NCBI taxonomy): domain Eukaryota; kingdom Metazoa; phylum Chordata; class Mammalia; order Primates; family Hominidae; genus Homo; species Homo sapiens. Next base: position 198,084,666 of record NC_000003.12, on the reverse strand, counting down.
CAGTGCTATGTTGAATAGAAGGGGCAAAGTCACCATCCTTGCCTTGTTCTAGATGTTAGGGAAACAGCTTTCAGTGTTTCATCATTGAGCATGATATTAACTGTCAG